>NC_000009.12:98220552-98372067 GCF_000001405.40 Homo sapiens | reverse complement strand
GGACCAAGGTCTAAGTGTGGGCTCAGTGGCCAGTCTGGCCCATGCTGACTAACTGACCTTCTGAGGTGACACTGGACAGTAGTAGCCACATGGCCTGACCATGTGGGGAGAGGGCTGGGCAGCAGGAAGAAGGAAGGGAGGAGGGGAAGTGAAGGCCAGAGGGCTGGACCATCACCTTTTGGTGGTATCTCAGCATCTCAGCAGTCCTGGGGGCCCTCTGTGGCTCTCCCTCTGTCTGGCTCTCTCTAGGCCCATCTAAGGCATGGTTTGAATATTGCACTCCTGTGTGCCTAGTGACCTGGGTCTGGTAAGTGGCTGATAGAACTAAATGCCTATTGAATGGAAATTTGATTGAAAGATGCCAATGAAACTCAACTATATGCAGAGGGGAGTATTTGTCCCCATCATAAAGAGTCCCCTTGCAGGGTGGACTCATACCTGATGAAGTCTGTCTACCTAAGGAAGGTCAATGCCTCTGTTTTCTCATGGCCTCTAGGTCAGGACCTGGATTCTCACCGTGGGCTACACGACCGCTTTTGGGGCCATGTTTGCAAAGACCTGGAGAGTCCACGCCATCTTCAAAAATGTGAAAATGAAGAAGAAGGTAATCACTCTCCTTCTGTTTCAGGGTATTAGTAGTGTTCACCCAGCATTTATCTAGCAAGTATATACTATATTCCAGGCACTGAGCTATTTGCTGGGGATCCAAGCTAAACACAATCCCTACCTCCTGCCACCTTCACCCTACTGGGGAAATCGGACAGTTAACAAAGCATTTGTAATACACAGTTATCAGGGCTGGCTGGGGACATGTGGGGGGTGCTGGGGTACGAAACACTCAAGGGAGGCTTCATGGAGGAAGTGCCACCTATGCTGGGGCCTGGAGGGTGAGTGGGAGTTGGCTGAGCCAAGGGCATAGGGATGCTGGGGACCTTGTCAAAGGAACCATCCGTGGCAGCCTGGGGATGGGAGGAGGGTGGTCAGGGGCCGAGAGAGGCTTGGTGTGGCTGGGGCATAGGGCTTGTGGGGACAGGGTACAGGAAGAGGCTGGAAGGGAAGACAGGAGCCACATTAAGGAATCTGCACTTTAACTTATGGGCAATAGGGAGCCCTTAAAAGAGAGGAGTGAAACAGGGCTGGTACCTGATTTAATGATTCCATTTTCAAAGAGGCCCCTGTAGGACAGGAGCTCAGCCTTCACACCGTGGACCGCATTCGCCACCCGTGCGGTTTGGTATAGATATGATGTTGCCAGACCTTGACTCTTAGTCATAGAGAAACTTTATCCACCACTGTCCTCTTTAACTCTTGCAGTGGTACTGGAGCTCCCCTTTCTTCTGGATAAAATTTGTGAAAGTCTTGTGATCTTGAAGGTCCTCTGGTTAGTAACTATTATAATATGTAGAGTCTATTGTTATATTCAAAACTGCAAACAGCATTGATTGGCACAACTTCTCCCTCTCCCAGCTCAGGCCTGCAGCAGGCCGGCCACCTGCCTTGGGAAAAGGAGTATAGGCTGGCCGCTTCTGTCTTTGGCCAGCCTGCATTCTTTCCCCATCATCCCATCCACCCAGGTGTCCAACCCCTCCAGAGTTGGAATTAGGAGTGGTGGAAGAGGCAGGAAATACCTTACTTGCTCAGAGCTGGCATTGGGCTTACTGGGCCTGGCAAGGATTGCAGTGGCCCCTTTAGACTCCTGGGGCGCTTTTCTGAGTCCCTCATTACTAGGACTTTCTCTCCTGCCGTCCTCTTGATGCAGGTGAAATGCTCCCCCAATTGGCTATTTGTGGCTTCTTCCTCTGCTCCTGAGCACCCTTCAGTTCTCCACCCTGGGGTCACCTCACCCCTCCAGCTAGTCCTGGACAGGGCCACACAAACTCTCCCTCACCCATGGCCCACATCTGGGGCACAGAAAGCATTCCTTCATCCTTTGCACCTACAAACTCAAGGACTGAAGGTTGATGTCACTGTAGTAGCTGCCTCTCTTTTGTTCCATCCTCAGAGCAGCTGGCCAGTCCATCATCCACCTTTAGGTTTCTCAAGCAGGAGTCGGACACCAGTCCACAGGGTCCCCCAGGCTGCAAAGACTCCTATCAAGCCACCCAGTGATCTCCTTTTCACTGGAAACCAAGGCCTCTCCCTTGATTTGAGGTCATGGAGGAAGCGTTCCCTCCCAGTCCACCCATTTCTCTCACCAGGGTACCATGACACCTCTTACCAAAAATCTTCTTCTCAATTCAATTCCCCACCCACCACACCCTAGCCCCCTGCACACACTCTTCAAATCCTGATGTGGGCATCACCTGTTTACCAACACCTCCTCTGCAGATCCTCACTGTGGGCTCATCCCAGTGGAACATGGAGCCTGTTGTTCTGGTTTTTCATCCAAGCCTGCATTTTGCTCCCTGGCTACCTGGCACCAGTGGCAGACAGCAACCCAGCCCGAGCAGTGAGGCCAACAGGCTAAACAGAAGCCTGGAGTTCTAGGCTCTGCTCCACTGCTGATCTGCCGTGTTAGACAAAGCTCTTAGTCTTTCAGGACTTCTGTGTCCTCATCTGTAGAATGTGGACACATTAACATAGTATTGTCCCCTTAGCTGTGATTCTGTGGGCTCCTGCCTGGTGCCCTGGTGATACCTCTCACTCCTCAGGCCCCCCACCCACCTCTTCACTGCCAAGGTTCTTCTTCAGGACTGCAGCCCCCTGTCCTCTCCAGATGAGGTGGAGGTATATTCTGTTCTCTGCCCCCTGCCCCCTGCCCCACACCCGAACCACCTTAGGAAATCCACAGGCTGCATTTAGAGTGGGGAAGGGGCCCTGCTCTGCCACCCTGTCCCTGTGCTCGCATGGAGGGGCCGTCTCTGGGCCCCGGCAGCATTTATGACAACTCTCCGTAAGATGAGAGGCCTGGCCACCCCAGTGTTCCTCAGCTGTGGCTGTGGACTGCAATCCCAGAGGACCTTTTGAAAACTACTGGAAGTCGCCCAGGCCAGTTGAAATGAGGGCTTTGGGGCTGGAGCTGAGCATCAGTAGTTTTTCAGCTTTCCCTGGTGATGTTAATATACTGCCAAAGTTGGGGACCTGTGGTCTAGGTCAGGGCTTCTGAGTGCGGCTGCCCTGCAAGCTGTTAGAAATGCAAGTTCCTGGGCCCCGCCCTGACCCTAATGAACGGGAATCCTTGGGAGGAGCCCAGGAGCCTGTGTTTTCCCCATCCCTGGCCAAAGCAAGCCAAGGCTGGAGAGCCACTGGCCTAGGTGGCTTCTGGGGCCCCTCCTGCTCTGCGGCTCTGGTTTAAGAGCTGTTCTGCTCTTGAACCAGGATGACAACTCCATCCTGGTTTGGAAGAAGCACAGTATTGGTTCCTTTGTGCTAATATGTGATTCATCCCTATGGTCATCTGTGATAAGAAACCTGCCTTTATGCTCTCTAACATGACTGCCAAGCAAGAACACATCAACCGTCTGGCCACAATCGACAAAACATATTGGGAAAACGGCAGGAGTTCAGTTGTCTAGAAGCTCCCTGTGGGGCAGTGATATGGTGTGGTCACCAGAGGCCATGGGCTTTTGCTCACTTCCTCCTGCACTGCCTGAGCTAGGGGAAACTCGGTCCCCGCCAAGGGTCTGGGCCAACTCTGAGAGCTCAGGCTTGCAGTGGGTCCAGGCATCCAGGGAGGAGGCTTATCTGAGAAACAAGCCTCCCACACACACACTTTTTTAACCTTTTTTAACTTTTTAAAGTTTCTTTACTTTTTTTTTTTTTTTTTACTTTTTAAAACTTTTTTTCTACTTTTGTTTTTAAGGGTAATGATGTCAGAGACAGTGGGGATTAAAACAGTCCCTTAACGGGTATGAGGTTAGAGGACTAGAAGGTGACAGAGGTGGACATCAGAGGATGGTAATTGTGTCACCAGGCATCTAGAGGAAGATGATTGTGACGGTGAGGAGGGCCTCAGGACCAGCGGGGGAAATGACATCAAGGATGGTGAGGGTGATGTCAGGGACAGAAAGGGCAATGACGGCGATAAACTTCATGCACAGAGGGGATCAGGGCCACCTCTATTGAGTTAATGGCACTGAACTCTCCACTTAAAAAGGGTTAAAATGGTAAAGTTGATGTGCATTTTACCACAATAAAAACAAAACTGTAACAATAAAAACCAACTTGGTTATGTAAAAAACTGGAACTGTGAAGAAGAGCCCATTTTTGAACTACGCCTGTCACAACCCTTTCAAAACAATCTGGTTCCCTGATTGAGTGTGTGGTTTGGGTAAGATATAAATTTCTCTTCTCTACCTTACCCTCCTGTAATTTGGTTGGTAAATAATACTTAACCACAGCACCGCAAACCGGCTCCTGGAATCACTAGAAAACCCAGAGTAACCCCAAAGAGTTTCTCATACTGGAATAATGTGCTCATCCAGCCTTCATCATTTTCACAACAAAATTAGTACCAAATCTTGTACTGAAAGCCTTTGGCAGTTCATGTTGTTCGTTTGTATTGTGCAACCATCATCACCATCCATCTCCAAACCTTTTCATCTTCCCAAACTGAAACTCCATACCCATTCAACACTAACTCCCTCTTCTCCCTTCCTCTCCCCACAGCCATGCCCACCACGATTCTCCTTTCTATGAATTTGACTCCTCTAGGAACCTCATATAAGTTAAACCATACAATATTTGTCCTTTGGTGACTGACTTGTTTTGTTTCTTTTAAAGAAGTTTGGACTTTTTTTAGTGGCCCCCTTATTTTTTTTTTTTTTTTTACTGACATATATACTAGATTTATATAAATTTGCAAATGCAATCATTTGCTTTTTTTCAATGCAGTTTTTTATCCTTTTCTTCTTTGCATAGCTCCCACCCCTCCTCCCTCATCCATGATGGCTTGCCCTCCCCAAACATACATACACAAACTTCACCCCATATGCCCTATATGTCCACATTTTTGAAAGCATTAAAGCAAAAGAAGGCTATTAAAGGCTATTAACACGTGTGACTTAATGCTTCCAAATTTCATATTTTTACAGCATGTTACTTTTTTTCTAAAGACCAATTGTAAAATCTTTTTAAATTGAGGAGTTTTATTACAGTCTTTATTTTGCCTCATACTAGGACCAAATGGAAGTGTTGAAACAAGAGTAGAAATTTAGAGATGACACCTTCTGTTCTGGGGGCAGATGCTTTTTGAGGACAATGGAAGTTCACTACAAATATGACTGGGTTCTGTTGTAGACAATAACATGAGTGGGAAAAGCACCTGAGGATAAACCCTCAGACTTTCATCTGGGCTCAACTTAAGGAAAATGCTGAGGGCTTTTAGCAGCTGTCATGAAGCATCTGCCATCTAAAGACGACAGGAGAGCTCAGCCCCAGGGGCACCATCCATGCTGTATTCCTCCTGAATGGTGTTCCCTGAAGAAATGAGTTGGCCCTAGTGGAAGGCCAGTCTGAATAGGTCAGAAAATCTCAAGTTTTTTGAAAAAATGAAGAAATGCCCTTTTCTCTTAACCAAGCATCAGCCAAGTTTTTCTGCAAAGAGCCAGAGAGTCAATAGGTAAGACTTTGCAGGCTCTTCTGTCATGGTTGCAGCTACTCAACTTTGCTTTCATAGAATAAAAGCAACCATAGACAAATATGCACATGACATTCATTTAAATGAGTATGGTAAAGGTGTAAATTTCTCTTCTCTACCTTACCCTCCTTGTAATTGAGGGTACGCTCATTTAAACGAGCAAGGCTACGTTCCCATTAAACTTTATTTGCAAAAATAGATGGTGGGCCAAGTCAGTAGTTTGCTAATCCCTGCTCTAAACAACCCAGAAGTCACATTTAGTAAAAATCGCTGGATCTGTTGAACAGTTATTGTAAGCCAGGCTCTGGTAATCTAGTGTGGGATGTGCAAATATTATCCCCATGTTCTAGATGAGGAAACTGGTTCAGAGTGGGAAGGGAATTACCCAAGATCACACAACTAGTTAGTTCATTTCAAACTTAGATCTGATTCCAGAACCAGGTGCTTAATCATTACTGGGTGCCTTTGCTCTCATCTGCCACTAAGTACCTCCTACCCACAGAGAGAGGACTGCATGTGATAGCATCAGTGAGTACTGACGTAACCCAGAGAGAAGTTCAGGCAGCATTTAAGAGAAGGAAGGAAGTCAAAGAATCTAAGAATAGGGAGATGGCCTTGCCTAATGCAAGGGGTCTCTGGTGCTCAGATCAGTGCTTCTTTTTTTTCTTTCCTTCCTTCTGTTTTCATTATTTAAGATTATTTTAAATCACCTCTACTTGACATTGTATTTTGTATTCCCACGGGTGTACTTGTATAATTTTCACTACTAGTCTTCCCCACAAACATGCATGTTTCTTAGGGCAGAATGTTTGTTTTGTCCACTGTTGCATCCTCAGTGCCTAGAACAGAACCTGACTCAGGGTAGGCACTCAATAAATATTTCTACAATTAATAAATAAAAAGTGATTCATAACTACTTAGCCTAAACCCATTCAGTCACAAACAGTGGCTACATGCCAGGGTTTGTGAATGGTGCCAAAAGGAAAATAACCATTTCCTCTCCTCTGATTCTCAGCATCTTCCCACCACGCACCCATCCACACATGATGATTAGTCTTGTGTCTAGTAGAGCTTAGGTGCAGTATCACATTT
Organism: Homo sapiens; assembly: GCF_000001405.40. Taxonomy (NCBI): domain Eukaryota; kingdom Metazoa; phylum Chordata; class Mammalia; order Primates; family Hominidae; genus Homo; species Homo sapiens. The sequence goes on along the minus strand of NC_000009.12, from coordinate 98,365,397 downwards.
GGCCCCTAGATGTCACTGTGTCTTACACATAAACACAGAATCACTAATTGTCAAAACCCAGGTAATGGTAGCCAGCTGCCATTTGTTGATCATCTTCTCTGTGCCAGACACTGTACTAAATGCTTTCCATACCTCATCTCATTTTATTCTTATACTAACTGTACAATTTAAGGATCACTGACCACACTTTAAAAAGAAGGAAACTGAGTCCTAGCAAAGTTAAGCAGCTTGCTCAAGATCACGCTTGACAAGAATTGGGATTAGAATGAGGTCTTCTACTTCCAAAACCTGTGTCCTTTCCTTTATACCTACTTGGAGAATAACACAGAAGCCCTCCTGCTCTCTCCCTCCCCCTGCCCCTGCCCATTTTACAAATGAGAAATGCAGAATGAGAGCAAGGAAGTGATTGGCTCATGGTCACACAGGTATCAAGGAACAGAGCCAGAATTCTAACTCAGGTCCACTTAATTTTAAATACTTTAGAAATCCACTGCCCCAGCCAGGTGTGGTGGCTCACACCTGTAACCACAGCACTTTGGGAGGCCGAGGCAGGTGGATCACTTGAGGTCAGGAGTTCAAGACCAGCCTGGTCAACATGGTGAAACCCCGTCTCTCCTAAAAATACAGAAATTAGCTGGGTGTAGTGGCACATGCCTGTAATCCCAGCTACTCAGGAGGCTGAGGCAGGAGAATTGCTTGAACCCAGGAAGGAAGTGGAGGCTGCAGTGAGCCTAAATTGCACCATTGCATTCCAGCCTAAGTGACAAAGCAAGATTCCATAAAAAAAAAAAAAAAATCCACTTCCTCAGACTTCATACTTGAGCCATTAAATTGGAAGGATTTACTTTATGACATTTACAAGAGGAAAATTCTGGTGCTCAGCTTTTAAAGCCATCTATGCCCCTTGCAGGGTATGCCTAGATTCATGGAGGAGGAGAAGCTGCTTGGGCTCAATCTTGAAATCAGGGTAGGAGTATGCCAGCAGAAAGGTGCAGGTCAGGCCTTCCAGGGGTCAGGAATAGCTGGACAAATGCCTGGGGGCTCAAACAGCCCCATGTTCAGCATCACGTAGATATGAGGCTCCTTCCAACCCATCCCCTAACTGCTAAGCTCCTTAGGCATTTTGCCCCAGTTTCTCAAGACTGGCAGGGAGTTGCCTAGTTCCCCAGAGGGTGAGAGTTAAGCTGGGTTTCTGCAAAGCACCAGCAGTTCACCATATCCTTGAAAATCTCAGAGCGGGCTTTGCCGGTGCCCTGCCCCCAGGTACAGCGGTTTTGCTGGATTTAATCTCCTTGGCAGTCACTGAGCCCACACTTTCCTCGTGTTCTTTTTACATTCGGTAACATAAAGGCCCCTCGGGTTTTTATTTCTCCTTTAAAAATGGCTTTAATCGTTAAAAACCAAACCTGGTGATATTTCTTAAGCTTCTGCCTGAGTTTTGTTTGTTTTTCCATGAGTCTCTTCCAGAACTACTCCATCACATTAGCTTTTCTGGAGAGTGAGGGGATATATAAACATGAAGTGAATGAAATACAGGTCAGCTTTGGCACCGAAAATATTTATCCCCCAGCCGATCCCTATCAAACAGACGTAAAGTGGGGTAGGAGTCTCACAGAGTAATAAAAATATCCCAGGCTGCAAAGAGGAATGGGAGTTATATTTCTTCTTTTTATATTCTTTCATGTCAATTCAATTCATCAGACTTTTAAGTAGCTACTGCATACCAGGCCCCGGTAGGTGCTGAGGGAACACAAATAAAATGGGCTTTCTTTCTGTCTAGGCCTCCCCAGTTTACTGAGGAGGGAAGACATGTATACAACTTTATATAGCTTCTGATTGTTGCTGTAAATGTTTGAGGATGTGAATTCTGGAGAAAACAGATCTCGGTCCAAATCCAGGCTTCATCTCTTATTAAGTTTATTATATTGAGCAAGTTACTTAGCCCTTTTAAGCCTCAGTTTGCTCATCCATAAAATAAGAATAATAACAATATTTGCTTTTATATGAGACACTGCCTCTGAAACCATCAACCTAGAGGCAGGCACAGAGTAAGTGTTCATTAAATGTTAGCTATTCCTCTCATTGTTGTTACTACTGTGGTTCCTCCTGATAATTAAGTATGTGGACAAAGCGCTATGGAGTAATTAGTTGTGCTGCAGGAGTTAGAGAGGACTTCATGGAGGAGGTGACAATTGATCGAGATGTTTAAGGATTATTAGAAGTTTGCCAAATAGAAAGAATAGGGTATTCCAGACAAAAGAACTAGCACCTACAGAGACCTGGAGGGTGAAAATCACAGCTCGGCCAGGGACTAGGAGTGGCCAAACTTCAACAAAATGCACATATGTGTTTGGGGAGTGATAAGGTCAAGCTTGTGAAAGGCCTTGAATGTCACACAGAGGAGCTTGGCTGGATTTATCCTGTGGGTGATGGGGAATCGCAGGAGACTCTCCGGCTGGGGGGTTCATGATGCAGGTTCCCCCTATGACCTGGGCCCCCAGTTGCTGCGTGGGAAGCTGTCTCTCACATCGGCTCCCCTCTGCTCCTTCCCGCTCTGTAGATCATCAAGGACCAGAAACTGCTTGTGATCGTGGGGGGCATGCTGCTGATCGACCTGTGTATCCTGATCTGCTGGCAGGCTGTGGACCCCCTGCGAAGGACAGTGGAGAAGTACAGCATGGAGGTAAGCCCTCCATGCCGGCAGGAGGGAAGCCTGCAGATGCAGCCCCTGGCACATGAGGACAGTGAGGCTGCACAGCTCCCAGACTGCCCAGTACCCCACTGGGAACACTTCATCAGTTCCATTTCCTTCCATTTGAGACATGTAATTCCAGGGAGGCCAAATATAAGGTGTTGTGAAAGAAGTTGATTTTAATATTAATACACGCAGAATGAATGGGAAATGTTGGGCTTTTTAAGAGTATATTCTTATGCATTGTAGAAGCCTTCATTTATAAGATCCATCACTTGAGAAATGACATTGCATATTTATCCCAATTTTAAAGTAAATCTCCTAAAAAGTGCTACTAGTGTGTAAACATTCTGAAAGCTCCTTCTAGATACTATATTGTTTTCAAAGTGATGGGCAATATATTTCTTTTCACACATTTGAAATCAGATATTTGTTGTTAAAATAAGGAACCTCACATAAAAGTACTGTTAAATATATTTTTAGTTGTCTTGCAGTCAGCCTTGCCCTGAACTCGCACTGGTCTTTCTAGGATTCTCCAGATTAGGGAATTTTGAGTCCCTTAGGACGCTGTAGTTTTGTTGACTTTCATTTAGAATAGTTAGACTGTCTTTGCGGGCTACAGCTGAGCTGCAGTGGGGTGTGCTATTTGGTAGGATTTCGGTAGAGTGTAACAAACTCTAAGAAAATAAGAATCTCTGTTTCTCTCACTGCTTTGTTAGAGAGATCTTTTGTGGGAATTTAGTGTGAATTCTTACACTAAACCAGAAATGGTCATTCTATGCACTGAGGGCAGAGCCTTTTATCTTTCTAGACAAGAAGGTTTTATAGAAAATAAGATGCTCAGCCTCATTTATCTCGAGACAGTGTTTACTCAGCTTGGTAAGAAGTTATGCATGCATTCAGAGCAGCAGCAGAGAATGCCATATAGGAAAGAGATTGAGAACTATGTCCCTCCACCTGACCACCTTCCACATAGAAGTGGGACTCCAGACAGTCACAACCAGAACTGGTAAGGAGGAAAGACCCGACACTGGCTCTGCCCACGGGCCAAGGGGGCAGGAACTGAGTCCACTCGAGCAGACAGGCTATTTTTGGACGGGGGGACATCTGGTCACCATTCACCCTGCAAGGTAGGCAACAGAACAGCTGGGTGGGTCCCAATTCATCCCAAGGGAATGCCCCCTTCATCCCAAGGGAATTCCCTGCCCAGCACCAGAATTTAGAAATCCAGACAGGATGTCAACACCAGGAAGAGCTATCATTGGCTAACTGGGCCCCTGAGCTAGGGAGAGACTGTGGCGGTGATAATAAAAAGCAACGATGATAAGAGCGATGATGATGATGACAGCTGGTATCATGCGTTAACTCATTTAATCCTCACAGCAATTCTGGGAGGTAGATGCTGTCCTTAACCTCATTTTACTGATGAGGAAACAGAAACCTAGAGAGGCTGTGTAACTTACCCAAGGTTACCTAGCAGGTTAGTGACAATACCACTAACTACCCTCTCACCTACTGCCTAACCCTGCCTTTCAACACCTGGGCAGCTCTTAGCAGTTTTACAGGCTTTCTTAAACCTTTGTTCATTGGCCACAGATCTGGGAAGTGAGTAGGGCAGGGAAATGTTCTCCCCTTCTACAGATGAGGAGAAAAAAGTAGAATAATGGGCAGACTGAGGGCCCAGGAGATCAAGAAATAAGAGCAGGGTGAGTCAGGCAGAGTTTGTGGAAGGCCTGGAGCTGGACCAGGTGGACAGAACGAGGCACAGTGGCTCAGTGTGGAGCCCAACAGTGGGCTAGGGAGGCTGAATGGCTGCCGCCTCTATTCTAGATGAAGGTGGGAGCTGAGTATTTACGAGAGGTTCCCAAGGCTCCAGCTGTGGTGGGGAGACACCAGCAGTGCCAGAGTCAACAGACTCTGGAAGTGGGGATGCCTGTCCTACTGGACCGTTTAAACAAGGTAAACCTGTGCAGTCTGATGTGTCTAGCTGATGGTTTGCTATCATGGCTCTTACCTGCCTTCCTTCTATTCTGTAATAAGCACTGCTGCTATCAATGGCTCTGTGCATAGAACCCTAGCACATTCCAGACTTTCCAAGGCTATGGTTCTCAAACTGAGGAGTCCCAGGGTGCTGCAGAAGTGCCTTTCTGTGTAGATAAGGAAACAGAGCCTGGAAAGGTGCTATCCAGGGCCCAGGGTCACCCAGATTGTCCAAGGCAAGGCCCAGATAGGCTGTTCCTGTGTCTCCCTGCAGGGTGTGCTGAGATTTCTCTCAGAACCTTTTCTGGCAGGTGCCTACTTTTCTTCTTTTATTTTAGGGTTGGCCTGTCCCTCTGTTGCTATGGTAACAGAACCCTTTGATCTGTCCACCCACAGCCCTGTTTATTGTCGTTTTTCTACAAACAGCACCAAGCCGTTGGTTTCTCTCAGACCCTCCTCTGTCAGACACAACAGGGTAGTTGAACAGTGTGCCCAGGGCCTGAGGTATCCTAAAGTCTCCTTCAAGGGGCTGTTTTGTCCAGGATCTCCAAACAGAAAGCCTAGGCTTGGGGGAGAGATGATGAAAGACCTTTGTGGCCCATCCCTCCCTCCCACTTACCTACTTCAGACACCCTGTGTGCTCCGGACTCTGAGCACCTGAGGATTCCAGGTATGGGCCTTGTAATATGGTACGCGTCCTAGCCTTTGCTCATGCTGTGTCCCCTTCCAGAATCTTCTCTGCCAAGTATATGACTTCAGTTTCAGCACCAGTGTTACCTCCTATGGAGAGGTGTCCCTGTGTTCACTGGCTCCGCTGGAGTCGAGAACCTGCTCTGCCTCACTTCCTCCCCCAGCATCCCAAACATTCCCCAGTCAGGACTCCCAGCAAGCAACTTCTCCAGGACAGGGCCATGTCTCAGCCAGCCTCCACACAGCCCACCCAGCAAGCACGCCACGGCCGGCATCTTCCATGGGAAGACACAGGTAGCCATGGCAGCCACAGCCTCATGGCAGCCTGCAGGCAAATCAGGGAGCAGACTAAACCTGCAGACGAATAACCGTATCACTTCAGATCACTGTCGACTCTGAAAGCAGTGAGAGGGAAATAAACAGAACCCAGGGCTTGAGAATAACAGGAAGGACCCATGGAAGCAATTCACCCTGAGAGAGCATACTCAAGGGTCCTTGGAATGCAAGTCCCCTAGAGGCCTACTGGGGGCAGCCCAGTCCCCCATCCTTATTCATTTCTGTGCCATAAATATTGATCGATTTATTTTATTTTATTTTATTTTTTTGGAGACAGAGTCTCACTCTGTCACCTAGGCTGGAGTGCAGTGGCATGATCTTGGCTCGCTGCTCAACCTCCATCTCCTGGGTTCAAGTGATTCTCATGCCTCAGCCTCCCAAGTAGCTGGGACTACAGGTGTGCACCACCATGCCTGACTAAATTTTGTATTCTTAGTAGAGATAGGCTTTCACCGTGTTGTCCAGGCTGGTCTCAAACTCCTGGCCTCAATTGATCCACCTGCCTCAGCCTCCCAAAGTGCTGGGATTATAGGTGTGAGCCACCTCGCCCAGCCATTTATATGTCATAAGTACTTCTGTAGCACTCGTCATGTGCCAGGTACTGTTCTAAATGCTTTACAAATATGAACTCATTTAATTTAATCTTTATAATAATCCTGTGAGGTAGGAGATATTTTTGCCCCCATTTTATAGATGAGGAAACTGAGACACAGAGACCTTCAGTGACTGGCCCAGGTCACTCAGCCAGTGAGTGGCAGAGCCTGGATTCCACCCCAGGTGGTCTGCTTTCAACCATGTTGCCACCCAACCCCACATACGGGTGGAAAGGGTCCCTGAGGCAGGGGATGGAGGTCCTGACTTCTGGTTTCACCGCCTCTTTCCTCTCTCAGGGGCTACACACAGTCCCTCTCAGGGCAGGCTGACTGTGTGGCTGTGGTCCTGGAGCCTGACTCCATGACGCCCCTGCCACTGCCAAGCCTCCAGCTATGGCTCAGCACCCCACAGCCTCCTCATGCCCCAAAGTGATTCCAGCCTCACTCTCACCTTTTTCACCAGCTATGCATCAGGCCCTGTGAGGGACTCCAGAGAGACAGCAGTGAATGAGATGTGGCCCTTCCTTCAAGGACCCCTTAGAGCAGTTAGGAAGACAGACAAGTCAGTGGCTAACTCACAACCCTCATGGTACAGGGTGCTGTGGAGCCCGAGGAGGGACGCCAGTCTGGCCTCATAGGGTCAAAGAAGACTTTTCAGCTGAAAGCCAAGGAGGCCTGAGCTGGTATGGGAGCACTCAGGCAGAGGCCGCTGCATTTAGAGAGCAGGCAGTGTGTCCAGTGAACCAAGTGCTGAGAGGACACAGGCAGCAAACACAACACACAGTGCTACTCCAGTGTACATTGGCACAACCACTTGGAAAACTATTTGACATGAGTCATGTCAAAGATGCACATGCCCCACAGCCCAGCTATTCCACTAGGACACATCCCTAGGGGAAGTCTCACACATATGCCCAAGGAGACCCAAGCCTGGGTGTTCACAGCAGCACTGTTTATAACAGCCAAAAACTGATAGCATCCTAAATGGCCCACAGGAACAGAATGGATACGTGCACTATGGTATTTTCAAAGAAAGGAAGGCTATACAGCTGTGGGAATGAATGAGCCACAGCCATACACATCAGTTTGGAGGCATCTCAACAACACAGCAATGAGCAAAAACAGCAAGTCACGCATGAATACCCAAAACAGGCTTTCACACGCTTCAAGTTCAAACACTGGAGAAACTGAACAGAATATTGTTTAAGGATACATACATAGGTAGCAAAACCATTTTTTAAAAAAAGAAGAAGGCAATTTTTAACACAGAATTCAAGATTGTGGTTACTTCTTGGTGGGCAGGATAGGAGGATATGATTGAGACAGGCACACAGGTCCTGTAAGGCTCTGGCAATTCTGTTCTTCAAATTGTACATATACATTATATCTCCTCTTCAGAAACTATGATGTGGGGTTTTTTTTTTTGTTGTTGTTTTTTGTTTGTTTGTCTGTTTTGTTTTGTTTTGAGACAGGATCTCACTCTGTTACCCAGACTGGAGTGCAATGGCAAGATCACGGCTCACTGCACCTCCCCTGGCTCAGGTGATCCCCCAGCCTCAGCCCCCCAAGTAGCTGGGACTACAGGCATGCGCCACCACACCCCATTAATTTTTGTATTTTTTGTAAAGACGGAGTTTCCTCATGTTGTCTAGACTGGTCTCCAATTCCTGGGCTCAAATATTCCACCTGCCCTGGCCTCCCAAAGTGCCGCGATGACAGGAATGAGCCACCATGCCCAGCAGATGTATTTAATTTTTTAAATTTTATTTATACTTACTTAATAGACTTTATTTCTTAGGGTAGTTTTAGGTTTACAGAAAAAGTTAACAGAAGTACAAAGAGTTCTCATGTACCCTCCACCCACCCCCACAATTTCCTGTTATTAATATCTTGCATTGTCTGGTACATTTTTTCAAATGATGAACCAATGTTGATACATTATTCGTCACTACAGTCCATAGTTTACATTAGGGTTCACTGTTCTACGGGCTTTGCCAAATGCATGTCATGTAGTCACCATTACAATATCATACAGAGTAGATTCACTGTTCTAAATATCCTCTGTGCTTTACTAATCCTTGACAACCACGGATCCATAGTTTTTCCTTTTCCAGAATGTCATATAGTTAGAATCACAGAGTATGTAGCCTTTTTAGACTGGCTTCTTTCATTTAGTAATATGCATTTAAGGTTCCTACATATATTTTTGTGGTTTGATAGCTCATTTCTTTTTATCAGTGAATAATATCCTATTTCCTGGTAGCTCATTTCTTTTTATCACTGAATAATGTCCTATTTCCTGGATGTACCACAGATTGTTTATTCATTCACCCACCGAAGGGCATCTTAGTTGCTTCCAAGTTTTGGCAATTATACATAAGGCTGCTACAAACTTTCATGTGTGAGTTTTTGTGTGGACATAAATTTTCAATTCATTTGGATAAATACCCAGGAGTGCAAGTTATGATTATATGGTAAGAGGATGTTTAGTTTTGTAAGAAACTACCAAACCGTCTTCCAAAGTGACTATACCGTTTTGCAAACCCACGAGCAATGAATGGGAGTTCCTGTTGCTCCACATCCTTGCCTGCATTTGGTGTCGTCAGTGTTTTGGATTTTAGCCATTCTAATAGGTGTGTGCTTGTATCTCATTGTTATAATTTGCAATTCCCCAGTGACATATGATGTTGAGCATCTTTTCATATGCTTATTTGCCATCTAGTGAGAAGACTGTTCAGAACTTTTGTGCACTTTTTAAATAGGTTGTTTTCTTATTGTTGAATTTTAAGAGGTCCTTGTATATTTTGGATGCAAGTCCTTTATTAGATATGTGTTTCATAAATATTTTCTCTCAGTTTGTCTTATTCTCTTACATTGTCTTTTTCAGAGCAGGAGTTTTAAATTTTAATGAAATCGAGCTTATTACTTTTTTCTTTCATGGATCATACTTTTGATGTATCAAAACACTCATTGCCAAACACAAAGTTACCTTGATTTTTTTCTGTTATGTTTTATGGTTTTACATTTAACATTTAGGCCTGTGACCCATTTTGAGTAAAATTTTGTGAAAGGTGTAAGGTCTATGTCTAGACTCCTTTTGCGTGTTGTCCAGTTGTTCCAGCACTGTTTGCTGAAAAGACGATCTTTTCTCCATTGTATTACCTTTGCATCTTTGTGATAGATCAGTTGACTGTGTTTGTGTGGGTGTATTTCTGAGCTCCCTGTTCCATTACATTGATCTATTATTTCATCAATCCCACCCTATGTTGGTTAGCATAGCTTTATAGTAAGTCTTAAAGTCAGGGAATGTCACTTCTCCAACTTTGTTCTTTAATGTTGTGTGAGATCTTCTGGGTCTTTTGCCACTCATGTAAACTTTGGAATTAGTTTGTTGATATCCACAAAATAATCTGCTGGGATTTTTATTGGGATTACACTGAATGTATAGATCAAGTTGGGAAGTATTGACATCTTACCAATACTGAGTTTTCTGATCTATGAACGTGAAATATTTCTCCATTTATTTAGATCTTTTTTTATTTTCTTTCATTAGAGTATTGTGGATTTCCTCATGTAGATGTTTTACCTAATTTGTTAGATTTATACCTATTTCATTTCATTTGGGTGCTAATGTAAATGGGATTGCGTTTTTAATTTCAAATTTCAATTGCTCATTTCTGGTCCAGGCATACCTCACTTTATTGCACTTTGCAGATTTTACATTTTTTACAAATTGAAATTTATGGCAACCTTACATTGAGCAAATCTATAAGCACCATTTTTTCTGATAGCGTTTACTCACTTTGTGTCTCGGTGTCACATGTTGATAATTTTCATAACATTTCAATCTTTTTATTATCATTATATCTATTATGGTGATCTGTGATCAGTGATCATTCCTGTTACTATTGTAATTGTTTTGGGGTACCACAAACCATGCCCAGATAAGAGGGCAGACTTTATTTGTTAAGTGTTCTGTGCGTTCTGACTGCTCTACCCACTGTTCCTCCATCTCTCTTCCTCTCCTTGCCCTATTCTCTAAGACACAATATTGAAGTTAGGTCAGTTAATAACCCTGCAGTTGTCTCTAAGTGTTCAAGTAAGAGAAAGAGTCACACATCTCTCACTTCAAACCAAAATCTTGAAATGATTAAGCTTAGTGAGGAAGGCAGGTTGAAGGCAGGTTGAAAGCAGAGATAGGCCAAAAGCTAGGCCGACTGCACTCAACAGTCAGGTTTTGAATGCAAAGGAAAAATTCTTGAAGGGAATTAAAAGTGCTGTTTCAGTGAACACATGAATGATAAGAAAGCAAAACAGCCTTATGGCTGATATGGAGAATATTTGAGTGATCTGGATAAAAGATCAAACCAGCCACAACATTCCCTTAAGTCAAAGCCTGATCAAATCTCAGTGAACTAGATCTCTTCAATTCCATGAAGGATGACAGAGGTGAGGAAGTTGCAGAAGAAAAATTAAAAGCTAACAGAGGCTGGTTCATGAGATTTAAAAGGAAAGAAATCATCTCTATAACATAAAAGTGCAAGATGAAGCAGCAAGTGCTGATACAGAAGCTACAGAAAGTTATCTAGAAGATATAGCTAAGATCTTTGATGAAAGTGGCTACACTAAACAACACATTTTCAATGGAGATGAAACAGGCTTATGTTGGAAGAAGATGCCATCTAGGTCTTTCATAGCCACAGAAGAGAAGTCAATGCCTGGCTTCAAAGTTTCAGAGGAAAGGCTGACTCTCTTGTTAAGAGCTAATGCAGGTAGTAACTTTAAGTTGAAGCCAGTGCCCATTTCCCATTTCAAAAATCCTAGGGCCCTGAAGAATTGTGCTAAATCTACTCTGCCTGTGCTCTATAAATGGAACAACAAAGCCTGGATGACAGCACATCTGTTACAGCATGGTTTCCTGAATAATTTTAAATCTACTTTTGAGACTTACTGTTCAGAAATAAATTAATTAATTAAAATACTCTTTTCAAAATATTATTGCTCATTGACAATGTACCTGGTGTATTAGTCTGTTCCCACACTGCTATGAAGAAATACCTGAGACTGGGTAATTTATAAAAGAAAGAGGTTTAATTGACTCACAGTTCTGCATTGCTGGGAAGGCCTCAGGAAACTTTCAATCATAGCAGAAGGCAAAAGAGAAGCAGGCACCTTCTTCACAGGGTGGCAAGATGGAGTGAGTGCAAGAAGGGGAAATGCCAGACGCTTATAAAATTATTAGATCTCGTGAGAATTTACTATCATGAGAACAGCATGGGGGAATTCCGCCACCCCCCCCCACCATGATCCAATTACCTCCACCTGGTCCCACCCTTGACATGTGGGGATTATCGGGATTACCATTCAAGGTGAGATTTGGGTGGAGACACAGCCAAACCATATCACCTGATTACCCAAGAGCTCTGATGGAGATGTAAAAGAAGATGAATGTTGTTTTCATGCCTGTTAACACAATATCCATTCTGCAGTCCATGGATCAAGGAATAATTTTGACTTTCAAGTCTTATTATTTAAGAAATACATCTCATAAGACTATAGGTGCCATAGATAGAGATTTCTCTGATGGATCTGGGCAAAGTACATTGAAAACCTTCTGGAAAGGATTCACCATTCTAGATGCCATTAAGAACATCTGAGATTCGTGGGAGGAGGTCAAAATGTCAACATTAACAGGAGTTTGGAAGAAGTTTATTCCAACTTTTATGGATGACTTTCAGGGTTTCAAGACCTCAGCAGAGGAAGTAACTGCAGATCTGGTGGAAATAGCAAGATAATTCGAATTAGAAGTGGAGCCTAAAGATGTGACTGGATTGCTGCAATCTCATGATAAAACTTTAACAAGATACACCAAATACAGCATCTAAGAGAGATCAGGATCAGCTCAGAGCCAGGAGGGACTCTCCACAGTGGGGAAAATAGATCTTTAGTGGTCCGCATTCCCATCACAGATGCCTGAAATACTAGCCAAGGAGAGCTCCTTAGTACTCACAGGCCATTAGCTTAGTATAGGGAGCTGCCTGGAGTCCATACAACTGCATTTTCCAGAGGATTTCACTCTGGGTCCCATTCACTCACCCCCCTAAAACCCAAGCTGCTGCATCAGGACACCATTTTGAGAGCCCAGCACCCACCAGAATATATCCTGCTCTAGGGCCCAAAAGCCCCTACATCTATACATACTGAAGCCCAACTGACATTCCCCCACATCCACCCAGAGGGCTGCAGCATTATGACACCAGCCATAACTTGTGGCACAGCCGGGTCCCCAGGACTCTAGCCCACACAGCGTCCTATGCCCCAGAGAACATCAATGTACCACACCAGGAAGGCTACCCCCAGGACAAAGGGACCCAAAGCATGCTCTCCCCAGAGCCTGAGAATTGCCTGCCTGGGGATGCCGATAACCCCTCCCCCTCCAGCAGCAGGACCCTCATGCACCTGCAGACACCTTCAGGGATCTTGAGGACCAGTCTGTCCCACTCACCATAACCAGCATCCATGCACACCATCCATGGACCTGAGGACAGGTCCACCCTGCCTGCTGCCATCACCACCCACATGTGCTATCTGGGAATCTGAGTATTAGTCCACCCTGCCCATGACTGGCATCCATGAGCACTTCATAGGGGCCCTAGGGCTGGCCTTCCCAGCCCTCCAGCACCACCCACCCAACCATTATCACTACCTGGTGGCCTTAGGACTGACCAGCCACCTCTTCTGCCACCAGAGGTGGCTATGCAAGCTGCCTAAGGGCCCAAGGACCATTCCACCTAGGCCCACCATTGACACTTCTGATGTCCACACACAATACCTGGGGACCTGAGGACTGGCACACCCAGTAGACAACTGCCACCACCAGTGCCCCTACATGCCACCCAGGGGCCAGCCCCAGGACCAGCTTGCCTGGTGTCCTTATCTCCAGTAAAGCCTCAACATAGCCTCCACTAATAATTACAGCCTAAGCTACTGAGAAATTCACAGCAATCACTGATGTTGATTACAGCCAAAGAAATCATACAGAGACTACACTACTAAGCCCATTCAGAATCAAAGCCAAAGTACCCTACCCAGCCAACACTATAGACACATGTACAGGAAAAATTATTTCCCCATGAAAGTCAATCCCTAAAATTGGAAGAAGCAGCTGTTATACCAGATGCACAGATATCAATGTAAGGATACAAGAAATTTGAAAAAGCAAAGAAACATGATACCTCCAAAGGAACACAATAATTCTCCAATAACATATTCCAAAGAAAGGAAATCTATGAAATGCCAGAAAAGAAATTCAAAATGATGATCTTAAGGAAATTCAGTGAGATACAAGACAACACAGATGGACAAACACAAAGAAGTTGGGAAAACTATTTGAGATCTGAATGTGAAATTCAGCACAGAGATAGATATCATTAAGAAAGGAACCAGACAGAAATCCTAGAACTGAAGAATTCAATGAATGAAATTTAAAAACACAATTGAGAGCTTCAAAAATAGACTAGATCAAGCAAAAGAAAGAATTTCTAAATTTGAATAAAGCCATTTCCCAGATAAGCAAAAACAGGAAATTCATCATCACTAGACCATCCCTACAAGAAATGGTTAAGGGATTCCTACATCTGGGAGTGAAAGGATGGTATCTGCCTTCATGAAAACACACAAAAGTATAACTCACTGGTAGAGAAGAGACACGAATAAGAAAGAGAAAGAAATGAAATGTTAGCACCATTGAAAACCACCAAAAGACAAAGGTAAATAATAAAAGAGGAATAAAGGAACAAAGGATATACAACACAATCAGAAAACAATTAACAAAATGACAGGAGTAAATCTGCACTTATCAATAACAACATTGAATGTAAATGGTTTAAATACCTCAATTAAAAGACATAGACTGGATGAATGGATTTTTTTTAAAAAGCCAACTATAAGCTGCCTACAAGAATCTCACTTTTCCTGAAAAAGATATAAATAGACTGAAAGTGAAGGAATGGATAACAAAATTCCACACAAATGGAAACCAAAAGCGTGCAGAATTAGCTATACAAATATCAAACAAAATATACTTTAAGTCAGAAACATAAAAAGGGACAAAGGAGAACATGACATAATGATAAAGGGATCGATTCATCAAGCAGATATAACAATTGTGAATATGCACCCAATGCCAGAGCACCCAGATATATAAAAAAAATTATTAAAGCTAAAGAAAGAGGTAGACTCCAATATAATAATAGTTGGAGATGTTAACACCCCACTTTTTAGCATTGGACAGATAATCTAGACAGAAACTCAACAAAGAAGTGTCAGAATTAATGTACATTGTAGACCAAATGGACCTAACAGACAGTTATAGAACGTTTCATCCAATGGCTACAGAATACACGTTTTTCTCATCAACACATGGAACATTCTCCAGGACAGACCATATGTTAGGCCACAAAACAAGTCTCGACAAATTTTTTTTACATCGAAATCATATCAATCATCTCTCAAATCACAGTGGAATAAAATTAGAAATCAATAACAAAAGGAACCTTGGAAACTGTACAGAAACATGGAAATTAAACAACATACTCCTAAACAACTGTTAGGTCAATGAAGAAATTAAGAAAGGAATTTGAATATTTCTTAAAACAAATAAAAATGAAAACACAACATACCAAAACCTATGAGATACAGCAAAAGCAGTGCAAAGAGGGAAACGTATAGCAATTAACACTCACATCAAAAAAGTAGGGAAATTTCAAATAACCTAATGATGCACCTCAAGGGACCAGAAAATCAAGAACAAAATAAATTCAAAATTAATAGAAGGAAAGAAATAAATATCAGAGCAGGATTAAATGAAATAGAGGCTAAAAAAATACAAAGGATGAAGAAAATGAGAACTTGTGGGGTTTTTTTTTTTGAGAAGATAAAATCAATAAACCACTAGCTAGACTAAACAAGAAAAAAAAGATGAAAATAAAGAAAATGAGAAACAAAAAGGAGACATAACAACTGATGCCACAGAAATACAGAGGATCACTAGAGACTATTATGAACAACTATATCCAACAATATGGAAAACCTAAAGGAAATGGGTAAATTTCTGGACACATGTAACCTACCAAGATTGAATCGGAAAGGAATAGAAAACCTACACAGACCAATAATGAGTAACAGAATTGAATCCATACAAGAAGTCTCCCAACAAAGAAAAGCCCAGGACAAGATGGCTTTATTGCTGAATTCTACCAAACTTTTAAAGAACTAACATAATTCTTCTCAAACTATTCCAAAAATTTGAAGAGGAGGAAATTCTTTCTTATTCATTCTACCAGACCAGAATTACCCTGATACCAAAACCAGACAAGGGCACAATAAAAAAAGAAAACTGCAGACCAATATTCCTGATGAACATAGATTTAAAAATCTAGATGAAAAAATATTCTCCGGGCACAGTGGCTCACGCCTGTAATCCCAGCACTTTGGGAGGCCAGGGAAGGCGGATCACGAGGTCAGGAGTTCGAGACCAGCCTGACCAACACGGTGAAACCCCATCTCTACTGAAAATACAAAAAAATTAGCCAGGCCTGGTGGTGCATGCCTGTAATCCCAGCTACTTGGGAGGCTGAGACAGGAGAATCGCTTGCAACCCAGGAGGCGGAGGTTGCAATGAGCCGAGATCATGCCATTGCACTCCAGCCTGGGCAACTCTGTCCCGAAAAAAAAAAAAAAAAAAAAAAAAAAAAAACAAAACTTCAACAAAATATTGGCAAACCAAATCCAACAACACATCAAAAAGATAATACACCACGACCAAGTGGGATTTATCCTAGGGTTGCAAGAATGATTCAACGTAAACAGATCAATAAATGTAATATATTGCATTAAGAGAATGAAGGACAAAAACCATATTGTTATCTAAATAAATACAGAAAAGCATTTTATAAAATTCAACATCCCTTCATGATAAAAAAAAATTCAACAAATTAGGCATAGAAGAAACATATTTCAACATACTAAAGGCCATCTATGACAAACCTACAGCTAATATCATACTGAATGGAGAAAGGCTGAAAGCCTTTCTTCTAAGAACTGAAACAAGACAAGGATGCTCACTTTCACTAGTCTTCTTTAACACAGTACTGGAAGTCCTAGCCAGAGCAATTAGGCAAGAGAAAGAAATAAAGAGCATCCAAAAGGGAAAGGGGGGAGTCAAATTGTTCCTCTTTGCAGATGATATGATCTTATATATTTTATAAAAACCTAAAGACTCCACCAAAAGTACTCTTAGAACAAATCAATAAATTCAGTAAAGTTGTAGGATAGAAAATCAAGATGTAAAAGTCAGTAGTATCTCTATACACCAATAACAAATTAGCTGAAAAAGAAATAAAGCAATTTCATTTATAATAGCTACAAAAAATGTCTAGGAATAAATTGACCAAGGAAGTGAAAGACCTCTACAATGAAAACTACAAAACACCAATGAAAGAAATTGAAGAGAACACAAAGAAATGCAAAAACATCTCATGTTCGGGGATTAGAAGAATTAATATTGTTAAAATGACCATACTGCCCCAGGCAGTCCACAGATTCAACGTAATCCCTATCAAAAGGTCAATGACATTCTTCACAGAAATAGAAAAAACAATCTGAAAATTCATATGGAACCACAAAAGACCCTGAATAGCCAAGGCAATACTGAGCAAAAGATATAAAGCAGAAGGCATTCAACTACTTGACTGCAAAATATACTACAAAGCTATAGTAACCAAAGCAGATGATATTTGTATGAAAACAGACCATAGACCAACGGAACAGAATAGAAAGCCCCTAAATAAATCCACATATTTATAGCCAACTGATTTTTGACAAAGGTGTCAAGAACATATACTGGGGAAAGGACACCTTCTTTATAAATGATGCTGTGAAAACTGGATATTCATATACAGAAGAATGAAACTAGACCCCTGTATTAGTCTGCTCTCACACTGCTAATAAAGACACACCCAAGACTGGGTAAATTAAAAAGGAAAGAGGTTTAATAGACTCACAGTTCCACATGGTTGCAGAGGCTTCACAATCATGGTGGAAGGAAAAGGAGAATCAAAGGCACATCTTAAATGGTGGCAGGCAAGAGAGCTTGCGCAGGGGGACTCCTATTTATGAAACCATCAGGTCTCGTGAGACTTACTTACTATCACAAGAATAGTATGGGGGAAATTGCCCCCATGATTCAATTATCTCCACCTGGCGCCACCCTTGACATGTGGGGATTATTACAATTAAAGGTGAGATTTGGGTGGGGACACAGAACCAAACCATATCAACCCCTATTTCTCACCATACACAAAAATCAACTCAAAATGGATTAAAGACTTAAATGTAAGCCCTGAATATATAGAACTACTAGAATAAAATATAGGGGAAATGCTTCAAAACATTGGTTTAAGCAAAGATTTTATGGCTACAACTTTAAAAGCACAGACAACAAAAACAAAAATAGATAAATTGGACTATATGAAACGAAAAGACCTCTGCATAGCAAAGGAAACAATCAACAGAGTGAAGAGACAACCTGTAAAATGAGAGAAAATACTTGGAAACTATTTATCCAACAAGGGACTAATGTCCAGAATATACAAGGAACTCAACAGGAAAAAAATGAAATAATTTGATTAAAATGAAGACAAAGGATCAGAATAGATATTTCTCAAAAGAAGACATACAAATAGCCAACAAATACATGAAAAAGTGTTCACCATCACTAATTATCAAGGAAATGCAAATCAAAACCACAGTGAGGTATCATCTCACCCCGGTTAGAATGGCTATTTTCAAAAAGACAAAAAGTAACAAATGTTGGCAAGGATGCAGAAAAAAGAGAATTCTTATACACTGTTGGTGGGAATGTAAATTAGTACAACAATTATGGAAAATAATGTGGGGGTTTCTCAGGAAACTAAAAATAGAACTACCATATGATTCAGCAATCCCACTACTGGGTGTTTATCCAAAGGAAAGGAAATCAATATATCAAAAGGATACTTGCACCCCTATATTTATTGCATTATTCACAGTTCCTAAGATATGGAATCAACCTCAATGTCCATCAACAGAAAAATGGATAAAGAAAATGTGCTGTATATATACACAATGGGATACTATTTAACCATAAAAAAGAATGAAATCCTGTCATTCACAACAACATGAATGAGCCTGGAGGATATTATGTTAAGTGAAATAAGTCAGGCACAGAAAGATAAATACCATGTGTTCTCACTCATATCTGGAAGCAGAAAAAAAAACTGAGCTCATGGAAGAAGAGGGTAGAATCGTGGGTACTGGAGATTGGAAAGAGTAGAAGGTAGGGGAGTATGGGGAGAGGTTGGTTAACAAATACAAAGTTACAGCTAGACTGGAGGAATGAATTCCCGTGTTCTGCAGCACTGCAGGATGAATACGGTTAACTATAATTTATTATATATTTTCACAAAGCTAGAAGAGAGGATTTTGAATGTTCACAATATAAAGAAATGATAAATGTTCAAGGTGATAGGAATGCTAATTATGCTGATTTCATTATTACACATTTTATACACACACCAAAATAGTCTGTATCCCATAAATATGTACAATTATTACATGTCAACTAAAAATAAAAGGAAAAAATAACTTTCATGAGTGAGGAGTTGCTTCTTATGGAAAAGCAAAGAAAGTGGTTTCTTGAGATGGAAACTACTCCTGATGAAGATGCTGTGAACATTGTTGAAATGACAACAAAGAACTTAGAATATTCCATAAACTTAGTTGATAAAGCAGCAGGGTTTGAGAGGATTGATTCCAATTTTGAAAGTTCTACTGTGGGTAAAATGCTATCAAACAGCATTGCATGATACAAAGAAATCATTTACGAAAAGCAGAATCAATCAATGCAGCAGACTCCGTTATTATCTTAAGAAATTGCTACAGCCACCCCAGCCTTCAGCAGAAACCACACGTGGGTCAGTCAGCTGCCATCAATAAGGAGGTAAAACCCTCCGCTAACGAAAAGATTACCACTCACTGAAGGCTCAGATGATCATTAGCATTTTTAACAATAAGGTATTTTTAATTAAAGTATGTATATTGTTTGTTAGACATAATGCTACTGCACATTTAATAGAATACTGTATAGTGTCAACATAACTTTTATGTACACTGGGAAACCAAAAATTTGTGTGGCTCACTGTATTGAGATATCCACTTTATTGCAGTGGTCTGGAATCTAACCTGCAGTATCTTTGAGGTGTGCCTGTATAGGAAAGCAAGTGATTTTTGTATATTAGCCTAATATCCTGAAACTTTGCTATAATTACCTGTTAGTTCCAAGAGTTTTTGTGTTGATTCTTTGGGACTTTCTATATAGACGATCATGTCATTTGCAAACAGAGACAATTTTATTTCTTCCTTCCCAGTCTGTATACTTCTTATTTCCTTTCTTGACTTACTGCATTAACTAGAACTTCTAGTACAATGTTGAATAGGAGTGGTGGGAGGGGACATACTTGCTTTGTTCTCAGTCTTCAGGAAAAGCATCTAGTTTTTCACCATTAAGTAGGTTAATGTATCTTTTCTTTTCTTAAAAAGTTAAAAAGCCACTATGAAATAGTTTTGAATAGTTTTGATGGCCAAAACTGAGGATGCCTTTGAGGAAATTAGAGGAAGGTCGAATGATGACTCAGGCAGAGCTAAGATTGTTAGGGATCTTGTGTGCTAAGAAGAGGAGTTTAAACTTCAAAATTAAAGATATCTCATCAGGGGAGTGACATGATCAGCTTTGCCCTGGCTGCACGGTGAGAACAGATGGAGGGGCGAGGCTGGAAGCCCAGTGATAGCTGGATGTTTTTGCAGTAATTCAGGCAAAAGCTGATGGCGACCTAAGCCAGGGCAGTCACAGTGGGAACAGAGAAGGGTGTGGATTTGAGAGCTATGTAGGGAGCAGACATGACGAGACGTGGTGATTGACTGACTCTAAGGGGTAGTGATATGGGGGCAGGGAGGGCAATGCTCAGATTTCTGCCTGGGGTGCTTGGGGAACCTCTTCATTAAGGCAGGTGTGGAATGAGAATGGGCTTGGGAGGCAACATGGGGAATTCATTTCTGGCCATAAGTTTGAGTCACCTGAGGGCCTTCTAGGCAAAAGGGCTAAGAAGATGGGCTGCAGGGTCCCAGTGGACAAAAGAGTAGTTTGTCCAGTCGGTAGAGATTTGTGGGGAAGCAGCTAGTTAGCACATTGAGGATAGAGTCATGAGAGTGAGTGTAGTAACCCAGAGAAAGTGGGTGCAGTGAGAAGTGAAGAAGTCCCCATAGGAGCCCCGGGAATCACTGAGTGATTAAACAGCCATGCGCACAGGAGGACGAGCCAGGGAAGGAGAATTTTAAGCAGTGGGATACCAGGAGAGAGAACCATCACTGGTGAGGGGACAGGAGAGAGAGCTGTCCCCAGGCAGATGGTCAAGAGAGAGCCATTCACAAATGGAAGAATTTGAAAAGGGAGAGTGAGGGCTCCAGAGACAAATGCCCCAGACTGAGGCAAGGACTGACAGGTGTCCCATGAACTGGCCCTGTGCTCAGTGCTCCTGCATCCCATCTCAGCCTTTCCTCTTCTTTAGAGTCTGATGGAAAGATTGGCTGTTTCTGCATTTCAGATATAGCAGGTGTAGATAAACCTGCCAAATATGTTAAAAAGGTTTTTAAAATATGATTTGTATTCTTGGAAAAAAGGAAAATAGCTCTCTTTTTTGAGCACCTACTCTACTTGTGGTGACGGTGAGTAGGTGTTGGACATACGGATCTGAAGTTCAGGGAGAGGTGTGGGCTGGAGATGGGAACTCAGATGGGGCAGCTTATGGATGGCAATGACAATCTTGGATGAGGGCACCAAGAGCAGTCAGAGCGATGGAGAAGAGAAGGGGACCAAGGACTCACCCTGGATCCTGTGCATGTTTGGAGACTGGAAAGGTGGGGGAAATTGACAAAGAAGACCTAGCAGAAGCTCAGCAATAGGAAGAAAATCAGATGAGTTTGGTGTCTTGGAAACCAAATGAAGAAAGTGTTTCAAGGAGGAAGTTTTGATGAACTGCGTCAAATGCTGCTTTTAGATCAAGTAAGATTAGGGCCACGAATTGACAGTATGTATGTGTGAGTATATGCACACACCTCCATATGGGATTTTTTTCTTTTTTTCTTTTTTTTATTTTGACGGAGTCTTGCTTTGTCACCCAGGCTGGAGTGCAGTGGGGCAATCTCGGCTCACTGCAAGCTCCACCTCCCGGGTTCACGACATTCTCCTGCCTCAGCCTCCTGAGTAGCTGGGACTACAGGCGTCCGCCACCATACCCGGCTAATTTTTGTATTTTTGGTAGACAAGGGATTTCACCATGTTAATCAGGCTGGTCTCAAACTCCTGACCTCATGATCTGCCTGCCTCGGCCTCCCAAAGTGCTGGGATTACAGGTGTGAGCCACCGCGCCCGGCCAGGATTCTTTTCTTTTAAGGAAAATAATTTGAGATAATTTTCCCCAAAAGTAAACTCAGTACATACAGATGGTGTGATCCTAGGTGGAGGGTTGTTCATTTTTTCCCAAGCCTTCCTTTCATAGCAAGCCACCATTTACACCTCCACCTGACCATTCCAAAATGGTCTTGAAATGGAGCGACATGGCAGACAGCACTCAAGGTCACTGAATATTGAACACCCAGGTGAGCCACGGAACCACAGGGCAGCCACTGTGGCAGGATCCTGAGGCTGCCTGCACACCCCGAAGTCTTCTCTCATCCTGGTCCCCACAGGATGCCAAGCAACCTATGTCAGGAATTCCCTACACTCTAGCTTCTGTGGCTTTCTGGCCATTTGAGCAGTAATCAAGTTAAGGGCCATTTGGGACAAAGGGATATTTCAGAACTTTCCTCCAGCTTCCGTAGTCTTGCCATTCTTCTGTGGAAGCACACAGGGGATTTGGAATCATGGAACTACACTTGGCTTTGAGCCTGGTGGTTATACCAGTTATGTTTCTATGGAAACAGATATTGGAAGAGGCAAACACATAGAGTTTTAAATAATTTCAACTCTTACCTTCTATCTCCCTCTACAGCTGCTCTGGGGGGAAAAAAAGTCAATCCTAAAGCAGGCACTTTCAGGAAACAGCTGGTATCTTCATAAAGCCTGTCCAAGCCTGACTTCACGCTACTCATTTGAAAATAAAGAGACATTGTAATGGCCTGGGTGGGGGAAGTGCTGGAGACCAGGGTCTGCCCTACCCAGTAGGCTGCTCACAGGTGGCCTGGTGGCCAAAGGCTTTGGATGCTAAGGGTCACACTCCAAGTGATGGGTCCTCACTGCTGGAGCCATCAGCCCTGAACAGTGAGTGAGGCTGGTCTTGTCACACATAGTTATCCATGGTGCCCTGGATGGCCAGGCTGGGGCCCCAGCCAGATGCAGACCATGGTCCAGGCAGGGCAGTGGAACTCCACAGGGGCCGTTGGTTGGTCCATTACCCATGGGCTGCCTCCATTAGCCTGGCCAACTCCTCCTAGGGAGGACCATACCCCATCTGAAGTTCTAACCACATCATTCTCCTGTTTAAAATTTTCCCCAGCAGCTAAAGGATGAAGTCTGTACTCCTTAGCTCAGCTCAGGAGGCCTTTGATGATCCGGCTGGCTCGCCTCCCTAGCCTTATCTCTCACAACCCCCTTCCTTGTTCCTTGTGCTCAGCTACCCTGAGCTATTGTTACTTCTCCAAAGCATCCCACTCTCTTCCTCTATGCCTGCGCACCTTCTACCCAGAACACCCCCTTTCCACCCCCAATATGCCATCTTCATATGTAAAATCCCTGCTTGACCTTTGAGAGGCAGCTTAGAAGCATCTCCTCCAGGGGCCTGTGGACCACATGGGCTGCCTGGATGGACACCTGTGTCCTGTGCTTCCATCTCACACTGTTCACCCTCATTCTGGTCACAGAACTGATCATTGTCTGTCTGTGTGCCGGTCCCCTCTTGTCTGTGACCTCCTCAAAGGCCATGGCCATCTGTGTGTCCCCAGCACCCACCACCAGTGCCTGGCTCAAAGTAAGTATTCAGTAAATATTTATTGACTAAATTATTCCCTCCACCTGGAGCTCTCCCCATGCCTCCATATGTCCAATTTCAACCCATCTGTCTGGGCCCATTAAGCCGGCTTCTCGAAGAAATGTCTTTGCCGAGTTGCAATTTAATTTAATATTACACCCTCACCTTTTGTCAAGAGCCCACTTCTGGGGCTGAGGCTGCCAAGTGAAGCATGATTCAGCATCTACTACGAAGGATGTTGTTCAGTTTGTGTCCCCGAGATAAAGATCCACAGGTTAGGTCCTCGTGGAACTGAGTACCAGGAAATGGGCTGTGCTCTCTCCGTGAACTTGTATCTACTTCCTTCCTTCCATCAGGCAATCGTAACTGGATAAGCCACTCTGTGTTCTTTTTAACCTTGGCTGCCAGAAAGTTGGAGCCAAATTCAACGCTCAGCCGCAATAACCATCTTATCTCAGGTTCCTGGAGGATTATCTCACCTTCTGATCATTCGTCTTTATTTTTAACTGTCCTGTTGTATTTAGGCTTTTAATGTGTGCTGTCTTGAGCCCTCTGGGAGAGGAGGCAAGGTGTAAATTCTAGATTAAGTTATTAAAACAAGAACTTCAGGCGAGATTTAATTGGAATGATATGCCAGAGAGACATTTTAAGGGTGTCCACAGCCACGTGCCTTCTGGCATGGATCCTGGCCCAGCCTCGGCTCGGCTCTGCAGTCAGCATTGTGGGCACAGATGTGTCTGGGCCCAGTGTATGGACAGAATAGCTCTGCCAGCCACCGCCGCGATTCTGGAACATCTTGTGTGGAAAGGTGTGTTGGATTCACGAGAGATTGCAGTTGATTTCATCTTCCTTGTTGGCTTCCCTTATGTCTGTGGGCAGCACATGGGGCCAGCCAGAGGCCCATTAGGACACAAATCACAAAAGACAGAGCCACAGCACCAGGGCCAGCCCTGAAGCTGGAACTTCTCCATCTCTACCTGTCCAGGAACTCTTCAGGGCATGAGCTGTTTGCTAGAAATTCTCAAGTGTCATGAACAGAATGATTGGAAACTTGTGTGACATCCTGGCTTCTTCTGACCACTGTATTTGTCTTGTTAAAGCCATTTTTGTTCCTGAGCAAAAAGAGTCTTTAAATTTTTATTATTTTTAACCCAATGCCACACATCCATGTTGGCAGAAATACAGGCTGCAGTCCCCATGAAGACCTTCCCTCTTTTCTGTGGGTAAACTCCAACCAACCTACCTCTTGGTAAATGGTTCATCATCAGGGTGCTCCTTCAGCATTTATGGGGTACCCATTGTCTGCCATGCTCCCTTACGTACTGCATGTCTGATGAGCAAGATTAGGTATGTCCATAAAGGGTGGTGTTACCAGCTTGCTGCTGGTAGGTCTGTGGTTGATGCTATCAGAGAAACACACAGGCATGAGCCAGGCGTGGTGGCTTATGCCTGTAATTTCAACACTTTGGGAAGCCAAGGCAAGAGGATCACTTGAGCCTAGGAGTTCAAGACTAGCCTGGGCAACATGACGAGACCCCGTCTCAAAAAAAAAAAGAGAGAGAGAGAAACACACACACAGAATAGATTGTAAACAACAGCAACAGTACCCTCTTGATGACATTTGCCTCCAAACACTTGGTTTTAAGTTTAAGTTACTGTGCTGAGACACTGGACTTAATTTTCTAAAGTATGAACTAAGATTGAATCTGGGTTAATGTCTCTCAGAGGGCAAAGAAGTGAGAGAGAACATGCATTAGTCAGGGTCTGCTAGGTTTTGCTGTAGTAACAAAAAAAAAAAAAAAACCCCTCACTGGATTAAAGCAATAAATGTTCTTTTTTCATCACAGCACTTGTCCACTGAGAACCAGCTGCAGCTTTCCCCCACCATGGTGTCCTACCCCGGGACACAGCTGGTGGCAAAGGGAAAGAGTGTGCGGCAAAGTGTGTGCCAGCTTTGAGCTTCCACCCCAGAGTGTCACATGTCACTTCTACCCATATCTCATTGCCCAGAATGCATCATATGTCCATGCCCGAGTTCAGTGAGCCAGGGAAGAGCAATCCTACCGTGTGCCCAGAAGGAAAGAGAGAACCAGGTATTGCTATTCAGCCATGATGACTACACTAGCATATTCCCCTGGCTTTTGGTTGCTGTACAAATACCACACCATTCACTAGAATGTGAGCTCCATGAGAATACAGGGGGAGGGAGGGTTGTGTTTCATTCACTGCTATATCCTCAACATCTGAAAAAGTACCTGGCACATAGTACATACTCAATAAATAATATTAGTTGAATAACTGAGGAAACACACCTTAGAGAAATCTTGTTAGATCTATGGGCTATTCTCTGAAAAATTTTGTACCTGTTCTGCAGACGCTATTGCCAAATCACATCCTAATCCATCACTTCTGTCTGCCTCCACTGCTGTGACTGGGGTCCACACCACCGTCATCTCTTATCATCTGCCATTCCAGAGTTGGGGTGCAATGAGGCAAGGCTACAGGTGGTGCAAAATGAGCAAGTGGTTTGGTGAATAAAGAGCCTTTATTGTTGAAGTCACTGAGTTGTTTGTGGTGGTGGATGTAATCATAGCTTTCCAAGGCAGACTCCAGCTCATTGCTCCTTCCAAGTCATTCTCTGCATGGCTGACTGGCAGACAGAGGGATCTTTTTCTTTTTGTTTCTTTTTTTTTTTTTTTTTTGAGATATAATTCACATATCATAAAATTCAGTCTTTAAATGTATACCCTAGTGGTTTTTAGCCTATTCATAAAGCTGTGCAACTATCACCACTATCTTATTTGAGAAAAACGTTGTCACCCCAAAAAGAAACCTTCTTTTATCCATCACCCCTTCTTTTTCCCTTCCCTCCAGTCCCTAGCAACCACTCATCTATTTTCAGCCTTTATGGATTTGTCTATTGTGGACATTTCATGTCAATGGAATCAAACAATCTATGGACTTTTGTGCCTGGCTTCTTTCACTTAGCGTAATGTTTTCAAGGTTCCTTCATGTATCTGCACTTTATTTCTTTTTATGGCTAAGTAATATCCCCTTGTTTTAATATATTGCATTTTGTTTTTCCATTCAACATTTCATAGATATTTTGGTTGTTTCAACTCTTGACTATTATGAATAATGCTAATGTGAGCATTCATGCACAAATTTTTGTGTGAACATATGCTTTTAGTTCTCTTGGATATATACCTGGGAGTGGAATTGCTGGGCTACATGGTAACCATGTTAACTCATGTTAACATTTTTAGGAACGGCCAATTTTTCACAGTAGCTGCACCATTTTACATTCCCACCAGCAATATATGAGGGTTCCAATTTCTCCACATTGCTGCCAATCCTTGTTATTTATCTGCCTTTTTGATTATAGCCATCTTAGTGAGTATAAAGGTTTCTGGTGGTTTTGATGAGAATGACTATCAAATAACTAATGACTAATGGTGCTGAGTGTCTTTTTACATGCTTATTGGCCATTTATGTATCTTTGTTGGAGAAATGTCTATTCAGAGACTTTGCCCATTTTTAATTGAATTATTCATCTGTTTTTTGTGGAGTTGTAAGAGTTCTTTATATATTCTAGATACTAGGCCTTTGTCAGATATATAATTTACAAATATTTTCTCTCATTCTGTGAGTTGTCTTTGCATTTTCTCAATAATGTCCTCTGACACATGAAAAATTTTAATTTTGATAAAGTGCAATTTATATATTTTTTCTTTTATTATTTCTGCTTTAGGTGTCATAGCTAAGAAACTATTGTCTGATCCAAGCTCATGAAGATTTACACTTATGTCTTCTTCTAAGAGTTTTATACTATTTGTTCTTACATTTAGGTATTTGATCCATTCTGAGTTAGTTTTTGTACATGGTATGAGGTAGTGATCCAAATTAATTATTTTGCACGTGGATATATAGCTGTGCAAGCACCACTTGTTTGTTTTGGTTTTTTCGAGACGGAGTTTCACTCTGTCGCCCAGGCTGGAGTACAGTGGCACAATCTCAGCTCACTGCAAACTCCTCCTCCCAGGTTCAAGCAATTCTCCTGCCTCAGCCTCCCGAGTAACTGGGATTACAGGCACCCACCACCATGCCTGGCTAATTTTTGTTTTTTTAGTAGAGACTAAAAAAATAGGCTCTTGGCCAGCCTGGTCTCAAACTCCTGACCTCAGCCTCCCAAAGTGCTGGGATTATAGGCGTGAGCTACCGCCCCTGGACACCACTTGTTGAAAAGAATATCCTTTCCCCATTGAATAGTCTTGTAACCCATGTTGAAAATCAGCTGACCATGGATGTGTACTTGTATTTCTGGATTCTCAATTCTATTCCACCAATTTATATGTCTATCCTTATGCCAACACCATGCTGACTTGATTATTGTAGCTTTGTGGCAATTAAAATTGGAAGTGTGAGTCTTCTGATTTTTTTCTTCTCTTGCAAGATTGTTTTAGCTATGCAGGGTCCCTTGAGATTCCATATGATTTATACGATCAGTTTTTTCATGTCTGTAAAAAAGGCTGTTGGGATTTTCATAAGCGTTGATTTGAGTTTGTAGATAATATGGGGAGTATTGCCATCTTAAGAATATTGTCTTCCAATTCATGAACATGGGCTATCTTTTCATTTATTTAGGTCTTCTTTAATTTCTTTCAGCAATTTTTTTTTCTTCCGAGATGGAGTCTCACTCTGTCACCCAGGCGGGAGTGCATTGGTGCAATCTTGGCTCACTGCAACCTCCGCCTCCCGGGTTCAAGCGATTCTCGTGCCTCGGCCTCCTGAGTAGCTGAGGTTACAGGCACCCACCACCATGCCTGGCTAATTTTTGTATTTTTAGTAGAGACAGGGTTTCACTATGTTGTCCAGGCTGGTCTTCAACTCCTGACCTCAGGTAATCCACCTGTCTTGGCCTCCCAAAGTGCTGGGATTACAGGTGTGAGCCACTGAACCCAGCCTTCTTGGTGGATTCTTTAGAATTTTCTACCCATAAGATTATATAATTTGCAAATAGAGAGTTTTGCTCCTTTCATTCCAATTTGTATGCTTCATATTCCATTTTCCTGAATAGCCAAAAAATTCTCGGATAGACTTTCAACCTACTTATATCTTTGAATCAAAAGTGAGTCACATATACAGCAAATATAGTCAGATCATGTTTTTTTTAATTCATTCTGCCAATCTCTGCATTTCAATTGGAGTGTTTAATCCATTTTATGTAATTACTGGAAAGGCAGGATTTACATCTGCCATTCTGGAAGATACTTTTTTGTTTTTGAGACAGAGTCTCCCTCTGTCGCTCAGGCTGGAGTCAGTGGCGTGATCTTGGCTCACTGCAACCTCTGCCTCCTGGGTTCAAGCGATTCTCCTGCCTCAGCCTCCCGAGTAGCTGGGACTACAGGCACATGCCACCATGCCTGGCTAATTTTTGTATTTTTTAGTAGAGACGGGGTTTCACCATATTGGCCAGGCTGGTCTCAAACTCCTGACTTTGTGATCCACCCGCCTTGGCCTCCCAAAGTGCTGGGATTATAGGCATGAGCCACTGCGCCCAGCCAGATATCTTTTTTAAACGCACGACGTATCTTACTATTTTGCACTTAAAATTCTCCAATTTAAAATAAAACCCACACTTCTTACCTTGCTACAGGTCCTACACAATCCAGTCCCACTCCATATCTGACTTCATCTAGTTCCTCTCCCTGTGCTCACCCCAGTCTTTAGCCATGTGGGCCTTCTGTCTGGAGCTCTAACACTCCAACTTTATTCCCAACTTTGTGCCTTTGCATTCATGATTCTTCTGCCTGGAACGCTCTTCCTCCAAACCTTTTCAGACTCTTTCCTGTCATTCAGATCTAGCTTAAATGCCACCTCCCTGATCACCAGATCCTTAAATGTCCCCCAACATTCTTTCTCACCTCCCCTGTTTCTCCATCACATTGCTTATTCCTCGTTCTCTCATCTATATTCTATCATCCACTAGAATGTGAGCCCCATGAAACAGGGCCCTTAACTATCTTACTCAGAGCTCTTTCTCCATGGCCTTGCACAGGGCCAGACAGACACACAGCTCAATATATGTTGGTTGAATGGATGAGTGAATGAATGAACAAAGGAATGCGTGCATGAATGAATGGATGATGGACAAGCTTCCCTGGCATGATTCTTGTCAGCACTGACAACAGCTGAGTAGGTAATGTGGTTGCTCAGTAGCTGGATTGAACTATTGGATGAATATGTTGATACTAAAAAGAAAAATAAGTAATGTTTTAAAGGTGAAGAGGAAGTTTGGTTGTTGTTGTTGTTGTTGTTGTTGAATGATTTCAAAGAGAAACTTGACTCGTGGTTCTCAATCCTGCTACATCACCCAGAAAAGATCTTTTTGAAAATACCGGCCCGGGTCACACCCCCCAAAATATCTGATTTAACTGGCTTAGAAAGGGCCCTGTGCATCAGGAATTTTTTAAAGTTGCCATGGGTTCTGGTGTGCAGCCGGAGTTGAGATTCTCTGGTCCAGACTCTCACGAATCTCTAGGAAGGGCCCAAGACTGTACCTTGGATACCAGGGTGATAAATAGACTCAGGACAATAAATTTTTACGACTAGAAAGTAAAAGAAGAAAAGGCTGAATCCAGAAAATCTGAAGTCCAGTTGGTCCCTGCCAGCCAGAGATGATGATGATGACAAAAGAATTACAGACTCAGAGAGAGGCCCACCTGGGGAGTTCATGTGTGCAGACCCCAAAGAGCTACGCAGGCCCTCTGGTCTCATATTTTTCTGAAAATCTTTGTGTTAGCATTTGAACAATTGTTTCTCCAGTGGAAGAGAGAGAGCAAGGAAGAGGAAAAAAGGGAGGTTTCTATGAGGTTTCTATTTCTGCAGCATTGTTCATTGCAATGGGAAGACAGAGGGTGAGCAAGTTCCACACCAGAACTTTAGGCAGGTTTGTTTCTAAGTGCTCTACAATCACAAGGAAACCACTGACCACAGAAACCAACAGGGAAGAAAAAAGGACAAGGGAACCACAGTGTCCAGGCACCTCAGCACTCATGGTGGCTCGGAAAGGAACCGCCAGCCCTGTGGTGGGATGTTCATTCTTTTCTGCCCTTGTTTAGCTTGAAGTTTCTCCCTAAAGCGATAGTGGATTAAGCTTCAAATACTGAGTTGTTTTGTCCTTGACAAAGGATGAAACATTTAACATGCCCCAAAGATGCTCTGTTCATGTCAGAGGAGGCTGAGACAACCTGTGAACCACCCCTTAGGGGACAGCAGCCAGAAGAAACACGATCATTGCTGGTCCTGCCCAAATCTCACTTCCCAGCCCACCCACCCATACTCTTGCCCTTCTCTGGACTGGTACCCCAACTCCAGGCTTACCCTACTCACATGCAAGCACCCAATAGTAAGCAAACACGTACTATAATAATGACAACAGTGTCTCACATTTCAACAGCATGGCAAAGTTCACAAAGCACCTTGACATCCCCATTTTAGAGATTCATCAGAGGAAACTAAAGCTGAGTAGGTGACCTGACTGGCCTGAGATAACCTTGCTTGCTACGCATGAGAACTGGAACCCAGCCCAAGCCTTGTGGTATTGGATGAGTCAGTATCCCTTCCACTGGGATTGATCCATTCACACTTCCTGCTTCTTTTTGCATCCGTCCCTTTGTTTTCTTTTTCTTCATTGATGCTTTCAAAATTATTAGCTTCCAATTGTGCATAATGTTCTCTTACAAATGCTTAAATCTCTTTCACATCTGTGATTATCTGGTTGATGGTTCATGAGAGTGAACAGATATTCAAATCCAGCAAGTTTAGATCTGAGAGCTTCACCTTCCAGTCCCGCTTCATCCTTAGTACTAGATCTACTCAGCCTTCTTCTAGGATTTCAACAAAGCTGCATTGTCTTAGGAGTAACAATAGCAAAAATAATCATAGCAACAGCTTTTCTTGAGTGCATGCTATGTGGTAAGCACTGTTCCAAGTTCTTTGCTTTATCAACTCATTCAGTCTTCACAACAACCCCATGTGGGAATTACCATTATTATCCCCAGTCTACAGATGAGGAAACTGAGGCACAGAGGGGTTAAATAACATGCCCATGGTCACACAGCTGGTAAATATACAACATGTAGCCCTTAGTGGTTAAGCAAGTAGACTCTGGAGCTAGGCTTAACTCCAAATCCCAGTTCAGCCACTTACTGTGTGAAGTTAGGTTAGTGTACTGGGCTGAATTGTCATTCCCCCTAAACGATATATGCATCCTTACCCCTGGACCTGTGAAATGTGGCCTTATTTGCTAAAGGGGTCTTTGCAGATGTCATTATGTTAAGGGTCTTCAGAAGAAATCATTTTGGATTACCCGGATGGGCCCTAAACTCGATGACAGGTGTCCTTATAAAAAATACACATAGAGGGACACAGACACAGGGGAGAAGGCCATGCGGAGATGGAGGCAGAATGATGCAGCCACAGCATGGAATGCCTGGGGCCACCGGGAGCTGGAGAAGACATGGCAGGATTCTTCTCTTGAGCCTTCAGAAGGAGCACAGCCCAACGGACATCTTGACTTTGGACTTCTGGCCTCCAGAACTGTGCAAGGATTAATTGTCTATTGTTTTAAGCCGCCCAATTTATGGTAGTTTGTTACAACAGCTCTAGAAAATGAGTATCATTTCTGAGGGCTTCAGCCTTAAAATGGGCCTAGATAGGAGAAGTGCCCACTTTACTGAGCTTTGGGGAGGACTAGAAGGGATGCCTGTAAGATTTGCCCACACCCAGCACCTGGAGAGCACTTGATGAAGGTTAGCCCTCATACAGAGCATCATTTATTACCCGGCCTTTGGCTGCTCTGCCCTGAACCCTTGCAGAGCCCACGGAAGCCAGCCCTTCACATTGCCATCTTCTTGTGTCTGACTCGTTGCCACTGGGACCCCTGAGCCCAGCCCAGCGTGTTCCTGGCTCAGGAATCTCAGAGGAATCAAATCTGACTCCCAGACCCAGGCTGCAGAGGCCTCTCTGAGCCATTATTACCAGGGCTGCCAGAGCGAGACTATGAACATCCACATGTGGCGTTTTAATATTTTACCCAAGAAGTCATTTTCTTCCACGATTCAGACACAGAAGACTCGAAGAATTAAAGTGAGAAAGGTACTCAGGGCCTGCATGATTTCCGCCAATGGGCGTGGAGGATTTTCCTGTGTCTGTTCAGGCTCTTTCTTTCTTATCTGCGTCTTACAGCAGACGGGAAGCCAGCTGACGAGAGATTGCATGTTCATACCAATTATTAAAAATATATGGCAGGCTTCTGGAAATGCATTCACATGCCAAGGAAATAGAATGCAGTCACCAGCCCAGGCCCCTGCACTGTGTGCTTTGGAGGAACAGTGCGGCATCTGTAAACACAATGATACAAGGTTTTGGACCAGATTCTGCCACCTCCCAGCTGCGTGACCTTGGGTGAGTGACTTAACCTCTCTGAGCCCCAGTGCCCATAGGGGAAGTTCATTCCTCCCTCACAGGTTTACTGTGAGCGTCATTAACTGAGATAACATGTTCAAGTACCTAGTTCTGAGCCTGGCACATAGAAGGAGGTCAATCAGTCTGATTTGTTTCCACTCCCTGCCCCAGAATTTCCTGACTCCCTAAGAAAACTGACATAACTACCCTGCCAACCTCCCAGGTCCTGAGGTGCACTGCTGCCAAGAGCAAACGTGCAGGATAGATTTACACCTTCCAGTGCACTTCCATGGCCATCCACTCATTTAATCCTGCAGACTCTGCTGCAGAGAGTGTTCTGTTTCCATTTTGCAGGGGAGCACCTGGAGAGCTCTGAATCACATAGGTAGCAAGTGGGGCTCAGAGGTGAGAAGCCAGGCCTGCTAATCCCCAAAGCTCGGCTCCTTCATACCCCATGCTGACTGTCAAATGAGCTGATGGATGGGAAATTGCTCCATAGGCAACAGAGCTCTATCCCAGCCTGAGGGCTGGACTGTTGTTATCTCCAGCACCTGTCTGTGATCAAGGCTCTTTGCTACCTTTTTGTCCATGTGTATTGTCCTCACTTCCCCCTTCTAGGCATGAGCAGGTTGGATCAGTCTCATTTGGCTCATTCCAAGGCAGTCTGTGAACTTGCCGCATGTGTGGTTAAAATGTATGCATGCTCCCACTCCCACTTCCCATGTGCCTTCTCATGCTCCACGCTCTCTGCCCCACCCACACTCACTGGCTCGCACATCCAGGAGGTGCTCAGCACAGCCTGTCCTCTGTTATGAAGAAGACTTCGTGGAGCTCAGGTGCACCATAGAGCCACTAGAGAGACACGTGTCATTCATTCATCTGCCAAACCCACATTTACTGGGCACCCACTATGTGCCAGATGCTGGAGCCACAATGATGGGTTAGGTGCAGCCCCTGATCTCAGGACTCCCCCAGTCCAGGGGGACAAGTTAATTGACAATGGCAGTGTAGGTGGCAAGTGCTAGAATAGCTCCGCCCGGGGCCCTGTGGAAACGCAGAGGAGGTGGCTGCTCATCCTGCCTTGAGAAATGTTTCACAAAAAAAAAAAAAAAAAAAAAAAAAGAAGAGGGACTTTTCCCCCAAGTCTTCAAAGAACAAATAGGATTTGGATAAAGAAAACAGAAGCTGTGCAAAATAGTTCATCCTTTCCTGAAAACGTTAAACAGAGTTACTATTAAGACCCAGCAAGTTCACTCCTAGGTATACACACAAGGAAAATGAAAACATCTGCTCAAAAACATAGACATGAATGTTTATAGGAGAGCTATTTATAATGCCAAAAAGTGGAAACAACCCAAATGTTCATCTGCTGATGAATGAATAAACAAAATGTGGTCTATCCATACAGGGAAATATTACTCAGCTGCAAAAAGAATGAAGTACTGACGCATGCTACAACGTTGATGAACCTTGAAAACATTATGTTCAGTGAAAGAAGCCAGACGCAAAAGGCCACATATTGTATGATTCTATTGGTGTAAAATGTCCCAAACCGGCAAATCCACAGAGACAGAAACTAGATTAGTGGTTGCTTCGGGCTAGGGAAGGAGAGATGGAGAGTGATTGCTAATGGATATGGGTTTCTTTTGGGGGTGATGAAAACTATGAGATAGCCGTGCTAATTGCACAGCATTGTGACTATATTAAAAACTACTGAATTATACACCTAAAATGGTTTAAATTGTGAATTTTGTGCTATGTGAATCTTACCTCACTTTCAAAAAGAAAAAGACAGGAAAAGATACATAAGGACATTCCAGGTAAAGAAACAGTGAAAGCAAAGGTAGAGAGAGGGGGACATGCTCTTGGAGAAGAGCAAGTGTCCAATACTGGAGCATGATGCACTATATTTTTCTTCTGTGGCTTCACAGCTTTAGAAGGCTAAATGATTGTCGGGTCCAATACCTGTAGTATCTGTTAGATGTTGTCGGTTGCAAGTAACTCAAACTGGCATAAACAATAGAGGGAATATATTGGCATCTTGAAAAGGTCCAGCAGTAAAGTGGACTTCAGGCACAGTTTGATCAGGGATCAGTTCCATTTCTGTGATTTTTTTGTCCCTGCTCTCCTCCATGTATGAAATATGTCATTACATTTGCTTCTCAGGTGTCATGGAGATATGAAAAGAAAGATGCATGCATTTCAACTAGAGTGATTTTAGAGGGTTTCTTGGACAACATAGAATTTTTGCCAAGTCTTCAAAAGATGGGTAAAACCTCAAGGAGTCGATATTCCAGGTAGATGAAACCCCTTGAGCAGGAAAATGTAGGGTGTATCTGGAGAAGAGTTCAAGAATTGGTTGGGTCTGGCAGCTTGCCGATAGAAAGTAGATGCAGGGCTGGAGGGAGCTTGGACTTTAACCTGGAGGCACTGGAGAGCCATACAGGAAATTCAGCAGTGGAGAATGTGATGAGCTCTTGATAACGCCTACTCTGGTTGTCAGATAATTTTACGAAATTATTTTTACTTTTAATAGATATGATAATATTGTGGTTATGTACATTCATGCTGAAGTGTCATGGAGTCTGCAATTGACTTTCAAACAGTTTAGGAGGGAAAGTGTGCATGTGTGTGTGTGAGAGAGAGAGAGAGAGAAGAAGAAGAAAAGGAGAGGAGAGGAGAGATGGGGAGGGAAGGGAGAGAGGAGCAGATATGGCAAAATGTTAGCCATCATTGACTCCTGGAGGAGAATACACAAGGGTGTGTTGTACTGTTCAGCTTTGCTGTATGAGAAAAAGAAAAAAATGAGAGTGGGAGAGACAAAGCACTCTGATAGAGGGACAGGCTCAGGAGGTGGTACAGTGAGGGGGCAAGAGAGAATGAGCCCCGAAGGGCAGGGCCGAGATGCCCCATTGGTGAGATGCCTCAGGGGCCCAAGCCACAGGGCTCAGGGTGGGTGAACGTGGCTAGGGACGTGTATAGGCACAGTAGCCCAATGACTCTGCAGCTTCCAGCCCAAGGGTCCAAGAGGACCCTTGTGCCTGGAATAGAGCTTGAAGGCAGCAGAGGAGGAGAAGGAGCCCCCAGGCAGGGCTGGTTTTGCTCCCTCCATAATTAACAATTGTCTGTGTGACTAGGTGTTTAGTCATAGAATTTCAGAGCCGGAAACGACCCAAGAAATCTAAGCAAATCTCTCATTTTCCTGATGGGGAAACCAAGGCATAGATTTACCTGGACTTTCAGAGTCAGATAGGTGACTAAGGACAAGCTACCAGTTTAAACCATTCCTACAAACACCCTGGTGACTGTCCACAGCAGAAATGACCTGAGGAGACACCAGCTTGCTCTGCCCTTCCTTGGTGAATCTTTGAAACCTTTTCTGAGTGCATATGTCATCAGGGAGCTGCTTCTTGAGTGGGTTGCCACGTGGGGTTTCACTCGGGCCAGGCACTCGCTGGTCTAGGGGCTTTATACATATTGGGCCATTTAATCCTCAATCCTATGAGACAGGTGCTATGTCTAGCCCCATTTTACAGATGGTAATGATAAGGTTACATGGTGGCCACAAGGTCACCTCATTTGTAAGTGGCAGAATTGAGATTAGAGCTCAGGCAGCCTGGCTCCAAAGCTGGCACCTTTAACCACCTTGCTACCCACCATACCCCCTGTCTCCTAGTCGACTGGACTTCCCCACATTCTCAGTGACTGGCTGACTGATGAATTGATGTGTTTATTGTCCAGGGAGAGGGTCACCAGGCAGTTCTGGCCCCAGCCTCATTGGTATGTCTGCAGTAAGTCAAGGCCTATTTATTACTCATAGAGTATTTTGGGGGTCTGTGATAAAGAAAAAATGCAAAACTTAATTTCACTTCCCTGCTACACTGCTCATTCTTTTTTAATAACCCTCTCTTATCAGCCTCCTGGCAGCTTTTGCACTTCCTGTGCATGTTAATTACTTTATTAATTACATTGATATCTTTGGTTCTGCCCAGCATTTCTTGGTACTTTTTGTTTGCAACGTGCACCCATTTTGCCTTGCTCATTGGCATATGCGGGCCCAGTTCCCATTTCTAAAAGGGATTCTTTGAGCCTCGGTAAACACATGGCTTTCAATTAGTCGCACAATCATCATTTCCCATTTTTCAAATCAGCCACGTCACTAATAGAGTGTTTTTAACATTCTCCCAAATAGAGGCTGTATTGTTAAGTTTCTGACATTCTTCCTCAATCCTTGTTTTCTCTCCACGTCACAGCTCAAAGAACCCCATATACCCTAGCATGGAGTGAGATGCTAGACACTAAGAAGTCTAGGGGGAGGAAGCACGGGAATTGAACCCTGGGACAGATGGAGACAGGGGTTTGTGAGATGAGGCTGGAGGGTGGCCTTGGACCAGGTCCTGGGAGGACCTTAAATGTGACCTTGAGAAGTACAGACTTTATCCTAAAAGCCAATATCCACCCAAAGTATATGGTTTAGAATATTGATCCCATTAGCTGTCCCAAAATAAAAGGGAATGGAAGATCATACGGTCTGAAGTTTAAGAAATCCTCAAAACTACATATCTGCTTCTTGGAAATGTATAATATACTTTTAGCAGGTTAAAGGCTCTGGAAAGTTCTGCAGTTTTATTTTATTTTATTTTATTTTTTTTGAGACAGTCTCACTCTGTCACCCAGGCTGGAGTGCAGTGGCGCAATCTTGACTCACTGTAACTTCCACCTCCCAGGTTCAAGCGATTCTTGTGCCTTAGCCTCCCGAGTAGCTGGGATTACAGGTGCACACCATCACGCCTGGCTAATGTTTGTATTTTTAGTAGAGACGGGGTTTCACCATGTTGACCAGGCTGGTCTCAAACTCCTGACCTCAAGTGATCCGCCCGCCCCAGCCTCCCAAAGTGCTGGGATTACAGACATCAGCCACTGCGCCCGGCCTTATATTTTTTAGTTAATAAATTTAATTTTATTTGTTAAAAATGTTTAAATTTGCATTTCCAAAACTTCTTTGGCTATGGGACCATTAGCCAAAGAAGTTTTAGAAATGGCCAATTTAAAATTTTAGCACAAAATTAAAATATATAGCATATTTATACCTACCTATTCTAAGGAGTTGAATTCAGGAAGTGCTGCTGGAGGGGCCAAGGAGCCGCTGTGGGTTTTGAGCAGGTGGGGGCAGGCTTAGGTTCTGTTTTAGAAAGTGACACCAGCAGTCGAGAGGATAAAGGGAGACTGGAGGCAGAGGTTTGAGGAAGCCCCCGAACAGTTCCCGCAAGACATAATGAGGATCTAAACCACAGGTTTAAAATGTTTCCATGTTTTCTTTCCATTTTACTTCAAGCTGCATTGTTGTCTTAAAATTGGAAAATCAGTGCTGCTATAATAAATCATAGCACAAGGATTTTACTCAGGCATAAAATCTGAATGAGAAAGCAATCTGCACAGTCTTCCATCTTCAAAAGAAGCGTTTAGCCCAACAGGGTATTGAAACACAGTAGCCATCTGTTTCTGCAAATCTCCAGAGTTCATCGAGGCCTTCCAATCACACAGACCCAGATTCAGGGCCCAGGCCCACACCTTTGTAGCTCTATGACCCTGAGCAAGTAGGCTTTACTGCTCTGTGCCTCAGCTTCCCCATATAGTACAAAGAGGAAATAATACTTTTCTCACAAAATAGTTTCAAAAATTGAATGAGGTGACATATACAGAGTGCCTAGCAAAGTACCTGACTCGTGATGACATAAAAATAAATGTAATTGCCCTTCTGTATTGGCCAGGTCCAATAAGGAACCTCTAAATCTCAGCAGCTCAGTGCAACAAGGGTTTATTCCTCACTCACACAAAATCCAGCTGTGAAGCCAGGTGGTTCTCCAGGGCAGCCATCTTCCATGAGGCAACTCTGTGTTCTGGACCACAACACAAGGCAGCAGGCCAATCTTGCAACAGGTCTTCAGTGCTTCAGCCCACAAGAGTCAAATGTCACTTCCACCCACAGCCCATTGGCCAGACTTAGTCACATGATCTCCCACACCCACCACCTAATTATAAAAAAGCTGAGAATATGCATGAGCAGATGGGATGTTGGTGGCATCAGCCTCTACCACTCTCTCTTTTCTTTGGTCAGTTCCTTGAGCCTCCCTGAGCCTCAGGTTCCTCCTCTGTAAATTAGGTCTAATACTTCCTGTCCTACCTTGCATGGGATTATTACAGGAGCACATGAGATTATATATGTGACAAATGCTAAATTATAGTTAGAGGCAGTTATATGCTCACTGTTTTGCTGTGCCAAAGCTACCTCACATTCTTTGGTTCATAGAAAAAAATGTACAACTTCAACTTTCCTTAAATCTGCATTCCTGTTCTTATTCCCCCGGCCCCATCTTTCCTTTGGATTGGCCACTCCCTTCTCTCATTTGGCTCTTCCCAATTACTTGTCGTGAGATCATTAAGGTCACTTATCAGTAGCCTTTGGTAGCCTATTTTTGGAATTTCGCACAAGGCTGCATATCCTCAAAGGTCATGAGGGACGAGATGACAAGGAGGTCACTAGAGTATTTCTCCTGGGCAGCAGAGGAAAATATTGGGGGTTCTGAATCATAGGATGCATGGGCCCTTAGGTCTTTGAAGAACACCAAAGAGGTGTGTGTTTGTGCTTGTGCATGTATATGTGTGAGAACATCATGTGCATGTGTGTGTGTGACTATTGCAAGCCCCAAAATTCCATAAATGTGGACATTAACCATGCAATCTGCCAAGCTCCATGCTGTGGTTTGGCTGCCAGATAACTAAGGCAAGTTCAGGAACAGCCCCAGGTGAACAGGGTGCTAGGCATGGGAAGGGGACAACTGTCTTGCCCTACTCAGATCCCCTTGGAAACCTATAGTTGGCTCAGAGGGCACAACTGCTGTCTCTAACCTCAGAATTGCTGTGCTAGGCCAGGTGCAGTGGCTCATGCCTGTAATCCCAGCACTTTGGAAGACCGAGATGGGTAGATCACCTGAGGTCAGGAGTTCAAGACCAGCCTGACCAACATGGGGAAACCCCATCTCTACTAAAAATATAAAAATCAGCCGGGTGTTGTGGCATGCACGTGTAATCTCAGCTACTCAGGAGGCTGAGGCAGAAGAATTACTTGAACCTAGGAGGTAGAGGTTGCAGTGAGCCAAGATCACACCACTGCACTCCAGCCTGGGTGACAGAGCAAGACTCTGTCTCAAAAAAAAAAAAAAAAAAAAAAAAAAGAATTGCTGTCCTAGAGCCAAGGGAAGAGCCCCAGAGGACAGATCCTGGGACAGTGGAAAAAGTCCCTGAAGTATAGATTTCAGCTCAAAATAAGGAAGAAAGTTCACACATTTAAGTCCAATCTAACCATAAATGAACTGGGCTTCCTTAGGAGGTAGTGAGTGTCTCATCACCAGAGGTATGCAAAGAAAGACTGGACAGTGGGCCGTTGGCAGAGACTGTACCCTAAGGAAGAGATATGAGAGAAGACACTTGAGTCTCTTCAAGCCCGAAAGTTGCGTAACCCTATAAACTAGAATAATGTAACCTCAGAAGACTTATATGTGTGTGCGTGTGTGTGTATATGTGTGTGTACAAAGTTTATAGGTTCATTTCTATATATTTGTTGCCAGAGGGTATATGAGAGATGAGTTGAGAACAGGTTTATAGTTATAATGAAATCGGAGCATCCTGAGCATCACTGGTAACTCCGTCATCAGAGGAGGATTGCAGGCAGGCAAGAACCTGGCCCAGAAAAATGAGCCCCACTGCAGAGCACAGAAGGAGGGATGCACACTCTCTGGTGGCCTGCTGCTACCCAGGTATCCCCACACACCGCCAGCAGTGGCCACAGCAGCCATTACGCATCCTGTTTTGGAAAAGTCTTTGCAACATTGCACTTTTGTGGCTCCCAGTGCACTCGCCTCTCTGAATGACAACAGGAAAATGAAATGAGTATATTGTTCTGGAATGCACTACTCTGTGTGTGTGTGTGTGTGTGTGTGTGTGTGTGTGTGTGTGTGTGTGTGTCGGCTCTGTAGTCTTTTGTCTTACTGTGCTCTTGCTTCATACTAAGAACAGCCCTCAAAGCAGGTGACCCCAGCATTTCTCAGAGGAGAACCCGGGGCTCAGGGTGAGCATGTCACAGTCCTGGGGCCAGACCCTAGTTCAAGTGCAAGGCCCATGGCTGTCCGTTACACCAGGGCACTGCAGTGTGCCCAGGCTGCCTTTAGCCAAGGACACACTGTAAAATCTAAGATGTAGCAGGGAACAGGAGAAGGAACACTTGAAGTTCATCCAGGCAGCAGCCTGCCTTCCTCCGTGTGAGCTGGGAGTCCCAGAATCAGCCAGAGTCCCAGGGAGGAGCATGAAAAACCGACAGGGCCCTGAGCCTGCAGTCAAGATGCTCGAGGTTCAGTTGCCCTGAATTCTTGATGTGTGAGCTTGGGTAAGTTCCAGCCCACTCCTGGGCTTAGTATTCTCCTGCGCAAAATGTGAGGGAGGCTGATGGCCCTACTAACCTCCTAGGGTGGTTGGGCAGATCTAATGAAACTGAAAACCTTGACATTGAGTGCACACACTCAGCTGTAGTAGAGTAGAATAGCTCTGTCCGGGATCCCACGTGGTACAGAGTCCTGATTTAGAGAATCTTCGCACTCTAGTTCTGTCACCTCTCCATTCACGCCAAGCTGGGCTTGGACTTGACAGCAGGGAGTCACCATGAACAGCCAACCAGGTTGTGCACTGAGTTCTCAGCAGAGCCCTGTGAGAAGGTGATGAGAGACACAGCCTCTGCACGGCCATGCCAGGGCTGAGTGGGAACAGCTCAGCTGCCTCAAGGTCTAGGCTGGGAGGTCCAAGGCCTGGGTGGGAGGGATGCCAGCCTGGACGAGGACTGGAGCTGGACAGCTTGGGCAGGGCCCTCTGGGAGCTCTACTCACTTTAGGGGCCACAGATCTGACCCCAAGCCCAAGGCCAACCACCACCCTCTCCCCCACAGAGAGGCTCCTTGGCCAGAGGAGTCTGGCCCAGGGCAAGATGCAGCTGGGTGGGGCACTTGAACAGGCACTCCTAGGCCAGGCAGGAACTATGGGGAAGAGGGCTGCCCTTGCCAGCTCAGGGCCACAATCAAGTCTAATTTATGGCAGGGCTTTCCATCCTCTTTCACATCACAGCACACAATATTAGCACAGCACCCTGGTGACCACAGAGCCTGCTCGTGGCTGGCAGTGCCTGGCCTATCCATGTGCCCCAAGGCAGGCGGAGGAGAGCACTGTCGTGGGGCCCTTCTACCCAGTCCCGCCACACCATGACCAGGGCACACTGTTGGAAGATCTAGATTAGTGGTTTAGAGAAAAGGTTTCAAGAGGAGTTAGGCGGACCTGGGTTCAAGTCACAGTTCCACTCCCCTTCACTCCTGTGTAACGTGGAGCGGGTCACTCAGCCTTACGGAGCCTCGTTTAATGTCCCCTAAAATGGTGTGGTGCTGGCGCTCGTGTCTGCGGTGGTTGATTGATTGGGTGAAATGGGACAGTGTATATAACACTCAGCACAGAATCTGGCCCACAGTGAGCAGTTAGTAAATGTGAGGGGGTCAGAGGAAGTACAGATGACAGGGGTGGGGGCGATAGCGGAACAGGAAAGAGTCCAACACAGATACCTCTAACACAGACTAAGTCCTCCCGAAAAAGACAGGAAGGAAGATGTTTTGGGCAGTGGATGTGGGAGGAGCCCAGAGGCCTGGAGGAATGGATGCGAACTTCACCGTCCTATGAAGAAGGGTATCCCAGGGCAAGGAAACCCCACAATAAGGGCACCAGGAGGAGAGATGATGGACTGTGTCATAGGAGGAGAGATGATGGACTGACTCATGGCTGAGACTGGGGGATGGGGAACAAGGCTGGACGGGTATGGGGGGGTCAGATCATGGAGGGGGATGGGAGCCAGGATCATGGGGCCCGGATGTCTTTACTGCAGTCTGGGGAGTCACTGAAGGTCTTGGAGCATGGAATTAGCACGGCGCGGATGATCACTTGGAGGCAACATAGAGGAGGAATGGGTTGGGAAGAGACAGGAGACCAGGTCCTGACCGAGGGCAAGAGCCTGGGGCAGGAGGGAAGGCAAAGGGGAGAGAACTTCACACAGGTGCATTCACCTGCATGTGACAGGCGGCTGGATGTTGGAGCCAGGGTGGGCATTGAAGAATGAGAAAGGCTGGAGAGACGCCAGGTTCTGGTCTCACCTGGGCAGACAGTGGGCTGCTTTCTGAGCTAGCCAACCCAGAGGAACAGCAGGTTTAAGGGAGAAGGCAATAAATTCAGACTGGGAGAGGCTAGGCAGGAGTAGAGGGTGCCCCTGGTGCCCCCTCTGGGCCAGCCCAGAGGGCCTGGAAGCAGAGGACCAAATAGGATCCCCTGCATCTGGCCACCAAGAGTTCCCTGGAAATGATGGGGGAGCAATTCAGCAGAACTAGGCTGGAGAGCGGTGGGAGGGGAAGATGATGGATGGGA
This sequence comes from Homo sapiens, assembly GCF_000001405.40. Lineage (NCBI taxonomy): Eukaryota > Metazoa > Chordata > Mammalia > Primates > Hominidae > Homo > Homo sapiens. The sequence continues at coordinate 98,322,013 of NC_000009.12, read as the reverse complement.
GTGTGAGGACTCCTTTTTCAAGAAGCTTGCTGAAGGGGAAGAAAGAGGGGACCAAGAGGCTGAGAAGCAGAAAGCAGGGAAGGACGAGTTTCAGGCCAGGGCTGGGCTGTGGCCCTGGGCAGGGGAAGGGGGCAAAAGCATGCAAGAGAGAAGGCAATCAAGGAAGCAAGTAAGGGCAAGGTGCTTTTCTCTCTCAGTCATTTAGTGCCAAGTATAAGCCACACAACTGTGCTGTCGTCATGTTCTTACTTTATTTCTTCTCCGGGTTTAATTGACAGCTGTCAGGATCTTACTGTACCATGCCATGTCTGAGGGACCAGGTTCCTCTTCAGCTCCTTTTGTCTTTCTCTGTCTCCTGTCATCATTCTCCCCATCGTCTGCCTGCTGGGTCAGGGTCCTACAGTGGTCCCCACCGCCCACCTTGGCTCTGCCTGCTGCTGGTAGGTCAGGCTTGTCCCTGGACTACAGGAGGAAAGCAGGGCTCCACTCTCAGGACAGAGGTGGTTCAGCCACTGGTTGCACCCACGTGCACTCCCGGGCAATGCCACCCTGATGACTTCTGCCAGGTTGGGGCATGAGGGGTCCAGGCTGCCCCATCCTGCTGAGGGTGGGGTACAGGCAAGAGCCCAGCAACCAGGCCTGGGAGTGTCTGCTCTTGTCTAGTGTTGCTACCATGGAATCACTGAATGTGGGCATGGAGGGGGCCTCTGAGGGGAAGGGATTTGCTTGCCTGAGGTCAGCAAGCAGAAACGTCCACTCAATAATGTGCCTTCAACAAAAATCGGGTGACCATGTGAATAGTTTCTTGTCCCACGTCAGCTGGGACCTCCTGGGTATTGAGATCCAGGAAATATTGCCTCAGACCCCCCAGGGCCGAGTCCTGGGAAGGTCCTGAGCCTGCTGGAGACTCCTGCCCTTTCCCAGGCCTTTCCTGTAGGCTCCAGGTCCTGTTCCTGGGTCACAAATGCACCAGTGGTCCCCTTACCCCTCAAGCAGTTCCTGAATTTTATTTTATTTATTTATTTATTTTGTATTATTATACTTTAAGTTTTAGGGTACATGTGCACATTGTGCAGGTTAGTTACATGCGTATACATGTGCCATGCTGGTGTGCTGCACCCACTAACTCGTCATCTAGTATTAAGTATATCTCCCAATGCTATCCCTCCCCCCTCCCCCCACACCACAACAGTCCCCAGAGTGTGATGTTCCCCTTCCTGTGTCCATGTGATCTCATTGTTCAATTCCCACCTATGAGTGAGAATATGCGGTGTTTGGTTTTTTGTTCTTGCGATAGTTTACTGAGAATGATGACTTCCAATTTCATCCATGTCCCTACAAAGGACATGAACTCATCATTTTTTAAGGCTGCACAGTATTCCATGGTGTATATGTGCCACATTTGCTTAACCCAGTCTATCGTTGTTGGACATTTGGGTTGGTTCCAAGTCTTTGCTATTGTGAATAATGCTGCAATAAACATACGTGTGCATGTGTCTTTCTAGCAGCATGATTTATAGTCCTTTGGGTATATACCCAGTAATGGGATGGCTGGGTCAAATGGTATTTCTAGTTCTAGATCCCTGAGGAATCGCCACACTGACTTCCACAGTGGTTGAACTAGTTTACAGTCCCACCAACAGTGTAAAAGTGTTCCTATTTCTCCACATCCTCTCCAGCACCTGTTGTTTCCTGACTTTTTAATGATCGCCATTCTAACTGGTGTGAGATGGTATCTCATTGTCGTTTTGATTTGCATTTCTCTGATGGCCAGTGATGGTGAGCATTTTTTCATGTGTTTTTTGGCTGCACAAATGTCTTCTTTTGAGAAGTGTCTGTTCATGTCCTTCGCCCACTTTTTGATGGGGTTGTTTGTTTTTTTCTTGTAAATTTGTTTGAGTTCATTGTAGATTCTGGATATTAGCCCTTTGTCAGATGAGTAGGTTGCGAAAATTTTCTCCCATTTTGTAGGTTGTCTGTTCACTCTGATGGTAGTTTCTTTTGCTGTGCAGAAGCTCTTTAGTTTAATTAGATCCCATTTGTCAATTTTGTCTTTTGTTGCCATTGCTTTTGGTGTTTTAGACATGAAGTCCTTGCCCATGCCTATGTCCTGAATCTTACTGCCTAGTAAGATTACTGAATTTTAGTAGAACTTCCTGAAGGTGAGGAGGAGCAGGCCCTTTCCACAAGAGGCATGGCTCTCCCAGGGGGCATCTCATCTGGCTGCCAAAACAGCTGCTAGTTCCAGGTTCTTTTCTGCGCCTGCGTTTCTCCACCTATAAGAAGAGAAACTGGATCAATGCAGAACCCCATTCGTGTTTGGAAATGGGGAGACGGGAGGGAGATCAGGGCTGTCACAGTGACTAGAGGACATTCATGGCCTTTAGTACGCGGGGTCCAGGGGTTCTGTGCACCCCACCCAGCACAGAATAGTCCCTCCCAACAAATAATTGCTCTCTGCATCCCCAAAGAAAAGTGGCTGGAAGTGCCCATGTTGAGAAACCCTGGTGGGTGATCTTACATGTCCTTTCCAGATCTCTGATTCTGGAAAAAAAAAAAAAATCACCCAAACTTGTAATCATAACATTCTACAAAAAAAATGCTTACTTGAAATGACAGCTTCTAGCTTTGTTGCCTCAGAGGTGCGGGGCTGCTGCTGTGGAGATAAGCAGTCCAGCCCCTGAGGGATCTGGAAGGTTCCTCCCAGCTCCAGCGCTCTGTGGCTGTCTGCAGTGGGGGATAATAATGATGCTTTCCACATCAGGAGCAGGCTTTCCCGTCTCTCCAGCTTGCGAGTCACACCGCACCTCCTTTGATCATCTTGCCAGCCCTGGGAGGTTGTAGATGAGGAAGTTATGGCTCAGAGAGGCTGGGAGACATGTGCAAAGTCACACAGCTGGCAAGAGGTGGACTTGGGATCTGAGTCCAGGGCCCTTTCCCCTCCCTGCCTAGGCATCCTTGTTGGCACCCCAAAAGAGGCCATGTTGACTCACCTGCCTTCCCAGGAAAGGAGAACCATCTCAAAACTCTGAAATGCAGTCTGGGAAGGCCAAACACACCCCCTAATACACACACACCACACACACACACACACCCCCAACACACACACACACACACACACAAACTCACATTTACATGCACACCTACACTCACCCCCAGCAGAAAAACCTACCAATTTTACCATATACTTTAAAAATCAACTTTGGAATTTGAAAAAAGAAAAGAGGCAGGTATGGCCCAGGGAGAAAGTTCTGCATGCCAACTTCTGGGAGCTGGTCAGAAGGTGGAAAGCACCCCCTCCCTCAAAGGAGCACTGGCCGGGCCGGGCTGGGCTGGGCCTAGGAACCCTTTCCACCCACAGTGGTGGCAGGAATAAAAGGTCCGAGTGACCCGCGCCAAGAGCCCCGTGATCAGAGGTGAATTGCGTGGCCCTCCTCATGTGCACCATCTGGACTCCCCATCCTCCCTGCCTGGGCCTGTTGCCTCGCCCACCCCTAACCGCCCTGGCCAGCCCTGCACAGGACACACAGAAGCACATGATTGTCAAGGTCTGGTCCAGGGTCAGAAACATACAGAGGAGCCCTGTCAAGTCTGGCCTTGCGCTAAGTCATCACTCTGTGTCAGAGGTGTGCGGGTGACAAAGAGAATCTGCGTTCTTAACCAGACTGCTTCTAAGCTGAGAACCAAATATTACCCTACTGTTTCAAATCCTTTAAGGCCTTGCTGCCCAAAGGGTGGCCCCTGGATCAGCTCCTCCCCTGGAACTGCTTAGAAATGCAGCATCCCAGGCCCCACCCGGGACCGCGCACCTGAATCTGCATTTTAACAAGCTCCCCAGGCACTTTGTGCTCACATTATCGAGTGAGAAGCCATGCTGTCCTCTCGCTTATCACACTTCAGCCTCTCTGGCCACATGAGGGTTCCTCAAATATGCTGATGTCTTTGCATTTCAGGTTCTTTTCCCTTGCCATGCCTTCTGCCATGCGTGCTCTTCCCCTAGCTTTTCACATGGCTGGCATTTCTTATCTGCCGGGTCTCAGACTAAATGTCACCACTGCAGAGTAGCCATCCCAGGCTACCTGATCTGAAACAACTTCCCTCATTAGCACCCCTCCAAGTGCCCGTAGTTTCCTTTAGGAATATTTATCACTGTTTGTATTCATAACTGTACTGTGTGGTTTGTTGAATGCCTGTGTTTGTTGAGCAGCCCCCGTTCCACTGGAATGTACCCTCCAAGAAGGCAAGCGCCATGTTGGTCTCATTCATCCTGTACCCCCACACCAACATGGTGCATGACACACAGCAGGCACATGACAAATCCTCATGGAGTCGATTTCGAATGAATGAATGTAGGACAAATACAGTCATGAAATGTAGGACAGATAGAGTCATCTCCCAATGACTCAGACTCCCATTAACTACACTGTAAATCAACCCATGGGCTCCCTTCACAAATGGGAAACTGAGGTCTAGAAAAGGGCAGGGATTTGCCCAAGATCACCCAGCAAGTCTGTAGCAGGACCAAGGCTTTTGACCTTTCAGGCCTCAACACCTCCACTTATGCTCCAACTCCCTGCCTGTCAGTTTGTGCAGCCGGACAGAGCGGGATATTTGCAGGGGGCACTGACCTACATTGTGAGTAATTGCATTATGCAGAGGGACTCTCGGGCCAGCTGCTCTCCTTTTGCCGCACAGATGGGAGAGGCTTTCCCCGGCAGCTTCTGCGTGCCTCCTGCTGAGCAGCAGCCTGACCAGAAGTCAGGTGTGAGCACTTCCATCTTCTGGCCGTCCCAAACCGGTGTGGCCTCACTGCTGGACACGGTGCCCTGCCAGGCAGGAAAGAGCATTTTATCAGCCTGAGTTCAGCTCGCAGCACCAAAGCGCAGCCTTCACCCTAAAGCTCTGGGGGCTTCAGGGGAAGCCACTGTTGAATATTTAACGATTAAGTTCTTCCTCCCTCAAATAAGCACTTTGCAGTTTATAGAGCCGGTTACACCCACTGTCTCCTCCGATTTGACACAATGATGCACGTGAGAGGAGGGCACATCAGGGAAGGCTCATGGTGAAGGAGGAGGGAGTGCTGGTTTGAGAGTCACACACGCCTGGGTTTAATCTCAGCCCCGAGACTTACTAGCTGGAGATCTTGGGCAAGTTACTTCACCTCTCTGTGACTCTGTTTCCTCATCTGTGAAATAAGTATAACACCTTGTTGGATTTTTGTGACTTCAACAAGATGACGGGTGTAGAGTTCCCAACCCAGCAGTGAGCACATCATTGTCACTCATGATAAGGCAGCTCTTGGTGTCCTTATGGCTGATGTTATCTGGTGAAGTCAGCCCTCTCTCTCTGAGGCTGCCTCTCATGGGAACTGTCCTGGTCTTACTGGAATGGGAGAGCCATGAGGACAGGGCTCTTGTCTATCCAGGTTATTGCTGCATGCCCAGAACAGTATCTGGCAAATGGTAGTGCTTAACAGTTATTCACTGTATGAATGAATGAATGAATGATTTCTTAGGCAATTGCCAAAGAGAGCAACAAGTAAGGAAGAAAAATAACAAAAGTGGCCGGGTGCAGCGGCTCACGTCTGTAATCCCAGCACTTTGGGAGGCTGAGGCAGGCAGACCATCTGAGGTTGGGAGTTCGAGACCAGTCTGACCAACATGGAGAAACCCCGTCTCTAATAAAAATACAAAAATTAGCTGGGCGTGGTGGCGCATGCCTGTAATCCCAGCTATTCGGGAGCCTGAGGCAGGAGAATCGCTTGAACCCAGGAGGCAGAGGTTGCAGTGAGCTGAGATTGCGCCATTGCACTCCAGCCTGGGCAACAAGAGTGAAACTCTGTCTCGAAAAAAAAAAAAGCCAGTTGAAAATTTTGCAGGCCAGCTATCCAGAGCAAGAAAAACATTCTAAGGGCAATGCAAATGCTGTCCTGTACAGAAGAGAAGAGGCCGAAGCCCGGGCTTAGGCCCTGACCCTGATGTCTGCAGGGGTCAGTGCCCTGTGCTCGCTGGCCCTGGCCTGCGTGGACAGTCCACACTGGGAACAGGCCGAGTGCAGTGCCCAAGTATAGCCTGAATACTTCCCCAACAGCTGCTCCAGAAGTGGGGGAGTCCCCCATGGTGCTTGGAAATCTGGCCTCATGTAAGGCCAGTGGGTGCCTTCCAGAGTAGCACAAGATGCTGCTGACAGCTTCACCGTTTCCGGCCCCACCGATCTATAGTAGTTGGTAGTTCTGTGTCCCCAGCAGAGGGTAATCCACCACCACCAGGCTGGACCCTTCATGTGGCTCTTTGGTGCCCTCTAGTGGTGCTGCTTTGGTGCACGACAATGACAAGGAAGCACTGGGGGTTGGGGGGTGGGTAGCCCACCTGCCCCTGCAGGTTGCATGCTCAGGTGCATCTCTCCCCATGTGTGGCTGCACAGACCACTGCGAACTCCAGGCCCAGGTAGAATCTGGATGGATTAGACAACACCTACAGCTTGTACAGTCTGCTTTGTGGTTCAGTGCAGGAGTCACTTGATTTTCTTCCAGATGCCCATTGCCAGCCTCACAGGAACAGGAACATCATCACTCCCAAAACTATCCCAACCCCTGCCACCGTAACCTCTGACCTGTGACAGGGAGATGGGGCTGCATGAGGATGACATTAGTGACCAGAACATTTTTGCAGTTTATTTCTGGATCAGCACCTGAATATGGGGAAGGTGGGTGTGGGAGCAGCTCGGCCACCCCAGGACCACTGACTTCCATGAACTCTCAGTGGACCCATCGTGTTTGTTTGCTACCCTCCTGCCAGGACTGTGCTTAAGGCTGCTGAGATGGGTGCGGAACTGAAAGGCCAAAGATAAGAATTCAGATTTCAAGATTCCGAGAGGTCAGAGCGGTGAAGGTGGGGTTGCGGGGGAAGGGGAGCAGCTAAGAGAAAGGTAAAGGTAGCCAGGCTGGAATGTCAGCAGCACAGGGGGAAAGACTGGGCTAGCAGCAGTTCTGTGAAAACTACCTGATGGGTCTTGGTCCAACCTGAAGGAACACATGAATCACTGGTGGAAGATTATATAGAAAGCCAAGGAGACCCAGAGAAAGAGGTCAAGCTGACTTGCTCAGCACTTGACTTGCTCAGCACTGCCTGGAGTACTGAGCTCCATTCAAAGCCTGTAGGAGTGGTAAATCTGTAGAGCAGTGGTAAACTCCAGCAGGTTGACTGACAAGGTGGCCTGGGTGGAGGAAGGCACAGTGGTGTGTCCCCTCTCTGTAGATCTTCCCTCCTGTGGAAGGTGTGCAGACTCAAAGAGAGAGCTTGGAATTATTCTGGGGAACCCCAGGGGAGAGATGAGCCCCGGTGAGTGGAGGTCCAGGAGGAGAAGGCTGTGGCTCCGTGAAAGCACTGTGTACTACCTCACCGGGAGCAGGAGGGAGGGGCTCCCTGCCACTGCAGTGTGTAAGCCAGGCAAGCCTTGTCAGTTTCCTGTGAAGAGCACTTCATCCCATTGAGCAATGCTGTATGACACAACTAATTTTCTCCACACCGAGAATCTAAGATTCCATCATAAATTACTGCTGTTCATTGTAGAGGAAAAGACAGGATCACCGTTAATGGGTTTGCCATTCATGCATAACTGGAATGGGTCCGTGCTACTGCATTCTGATGTTGGCCTGATTGTCACACACTGGAGAAACCCAGATTCTGCCACTAAGTCAGTTGACCTTGGGACCAAGCCAGTTCTGTCACCTTAATTAAACAATGAAAGGATGTCAGGAAACCCCCATTGCCCTTAATAAAATGCAGCCCAGCTCCTGGGTGGGTAGCAGTGGAGGGGAAATCTCTACCCCTGGCCACTCTGACTTTAGTTTCTGGAGATCACCTCCCTCCGGGGTGTTTCTTACTGCAGAGCCTTCAGGAAACCACATTATCCCCTCTAGCACTCCAGCCCAAGTGTGGACTCAATGCACATGGACCCAAAGAGGTTGAGCTAAGGCTTTCTGTGGCTTGGGACAGCGAAAGGCAAATCAAGCCTGAGAGAACACACAGCAGGATGATCTGGTCAAAAAATGGCCTGAACCCCCAGGTCCCACCCCTCCTAGCTCCTCCTGCTTTCACGTGGGAGCACCATCTTTCCCCCACCTCACAGAAGCCCAGGTCCATTGCCTGCTTCAAAGGTCACACCTGGAGAGCAAGACCAAAAAACTAGTTTCTAAACGCTACCCGTCTAAGACCTGCCTTCTACCCCTGGGTCCCATCAAAGTACCTTCTTCCTAGTGATTGACCCTGGGGATGCCCATGCCTTACCCTCAGGAGTGTGGCTTTACCCTGGGCCTCAACAGCACAACTCCATCAGAATATAACATCCTGAACACAGTTATTTGGTGATATACTCCCAGTGGCAAACAGATTGCAAAGGAATCTTCAACTTTACTTAGTAAGTTTGTGCTTGACAGTTGTATGGATGTATCAATTTTGCAACTATTTAGTGTCTAATGTAGGACTGAACAAATCAGTAAATATTTTGATGTTGTTCGAAGGCAGGGATTCCACTGTTGGAGAAGAGTGATGAAAATATGGAATGGGGAAGGCAAGCAAGAACTCGGCAGTGTTGGATCTTATCTAGACAGACAGACAGACAGATTTATTTTTAAAAGAGCTTAGAAGTAGTGACAACTTAGGAACAGTGAGACCATCAAGTGCCTACATCTTGGTTTCTAAACACCATTCTCCACTAAAAAGAACAAGGACTCCTTGGAGAAATGGTTGATTGCAAGGCTGGGAGCAAGAAGAGTTCAAGGAGTGCTGGAATCGTTGTGCCAAGAAGTAAGAAAGTGCTCAAAAAAATTATGGTGATGTGTGGAAAAAACATAGAAGGCAGCATGAAGTTGTTTTCCACTGGCCCAATCTGGAAAAATTTAAGCATCAACATGAATAAGATAGCAAAGGATTATAAGACATTGAATTAAAAAGGAACATACTAGGCCAGACATGGTGGCCCATGCCTGTAATCCCAGCCCTTTGGGAGGCGGAGACGGGCAGATCACCTAAGGTCGGCAGCTCAAGACCGGCCTGGCCAGCATGGTGAAACCCCATCTCTAATAAAAATACAAAAATTAGCCAGGCATGGTGGCGGCCGCCTATAATCCCAGCTACTCAAGAGGCTGAGACATGAGAATTGCTTGAACTCAGGAGGCAGAAGTTGCAGTGAGCGGAGATCACGACATTGCACTCCAGCCTGGGTGACAGAGACTCTATCTCAAAAAAAAGGAACATACTGATATACATAAATAAATGGGAGGAAAGGAAAGCTCTTCTTTGCAGTAGAATGCCAAGTGTTTAAATAGAATGGTAGAGTTAGAAAATCACCATTTTGCAGCTACCAAAGTAATAAATGACTCAGGTAAGAATTATCAATGGTTGCTGAAACCACTGCGTGAACATTTGTGGGGGAACAGGATACTTACACAGTCTCAAAGTAGCTCCCACAGATTATTTATTAATTACAAATGGGGAAATGATACCTTTGAAATGGATGTCTGACAGAAATCATGTCAACCAAGTGATCACAGAGTGCCAACGCGTCCCCCTGATGTGACTCTTACTTATGTAGGATTCCTGACAAGAATACATAAAATCTGAATATAAAACATTCAGGCTAATCCAAATTGAGGGGCTTCTACAAAATAACTGAACTAGATTTTTCAGAAACAATGACATGAAAGACCAAAGTAGGCTGAAGAATTGTTTGAGATTAAAGGAAACCAAAGACACGTAAGTGCAATAATGATGCTGGATTGGATCCTGCATTGGAAAATCCACAGTTGCTTTAAAGGACGTTATTAAGCCAATTGGCAAAATCTGAAAATGGCTAGTATATTAGATAATACACTGTATCAGTGTTAAATTTTCTGAATTTAGTAAGTGTATGTGATTGTGCAAGGGAATCCCTTGTTCTTAGGAAATATATGCTAGGATATTCAGGGGTGAAGGGTCAGGATATCTGCAATTTACTCTCAAATGGTTCAGAAAAAAATAAATGTACAGTAGATGTTGTTTCATTCCCTGGGTGTCTTTTTGTCTTGTTGCCACCATCTGGCCAATTATCTCCCAGAGTTTCCCAATTCAAGTTCCTGCCAGAGAGAATGTGCTCAGGAGGGATCCTCTCCATCAACCCTCATTAGGCAGAGCACTTTGTAGGAGGAAACCTCATAGGTATCTGACAAGCCTCTGGATTGGCTGCCTGGGGTCAGGTGCCCATTCTTTGTCCAGTCAGCTCTGGCCAAGGATGAGTCATGTGGTACACAACCTGGCTGCCATCACTGCTCCAGCAGTGGGGCTGTGGGCAAGAGGGTCTCCTCAGAAGGGTTTGGCAGGCCCCAGGCTTGGGCAGGCCAGTATATCCTATATCTCCAGTTGCACAGAGGTAACCCCAGAGATACCTGAAGACCTCCTGACCTAACTTTATACCTCATTCTCACAACAAATATTAGCGGTACCTGCATTGGGCCAGGTTTTGTGTTAGATCCTAGGGGCAAAGAAGTGACCCAGTTCCTACCCTCAGGAGCTCTGACTCAAATTGGAGAGGCATGAATTATGCAGAGAACTGGAGTGCAGGGTTGAATTGCTACCAACAAACAGAAGGCAGTCAACGCTAGTTGAGGCCTGGGCTCCACACCTTAGGAACACAGAGATGGGGTCCAAATGGCCTGCTGAACAGTGGCATTGGCTATGGCTCACAGGAGGGAAAAGGGCTCTCAGATAAGGACCCAGTTGCTGGAAGAGTGTCCTGTGCCATCCCTGAGTCTCTGTTTTCTCTTTGCACAGCCGGACCCAGCAGGACGGGATATCTCCATCCGCCCTCTCCTGGAGCACTGTGAGAACACCCATATGACCATCTGGCTTGGCATCGTCTATGCCTACAAGGGACTTCTCATGGTAGGTGCAGAGCAGGAGACAGTGTTGAGGGGGGACACTTCTTTGTTGGGCCTCTGTCTCCCAGGGGCCTCCATCAATGTAAAAATAAACAGAGCCTCCATGACTAAGCAGTTACTCTCTGTGGACTCAGTGCCTGCCACATGCTATCTCAGTTCCTGCAGCAACCCTATGAGATAGGTACAAATAACATCCTCATTTCACTGATGACACTGAGGCTTGGTGTCTTGCCCAAGGTCATCTGGCTAGTAAGTGGCAGAGTCAAGATCTTAACCAGAGAGTAACCCAAAAACTCGTGGCTGTGCCTTACAGCTGTCACTGCACTACTCCCAGGAAGAGCAGTCTGCCGACATCCAGTGCATGTTCATGTCCAGCATTTCAGCGGACCCTCTCTTAAGTCCATGGGAGGTGGGCAGGATCATCCCCATTTAATAGATGAGGAGGGTAAGCCTCAGAGAGGTTAAATGATTTGCCAAAAGCTGCCTAGTAACCTCCAAACTGCAAACCCAGCACTCTTTCCACTTTACTCATCTTTTGAAATCAAAGATCATGCTAGGTGCTGTGGCTCATGCTTGCAATGCCAGCACTTTGAGAGGCCGAGGTGGGTGGGTCACCTGAGGTCAGGAGTTCGAGACCAGCCTGACCAACGTGGCAAAACCCCATCTCTACTAAAAATACAAAATTAGCTGGGTGTGGTTGTGGGCGCCTGTAATCCCAATTACTTTGGAGGCTGAGGCAGGAGAATCGCTTGAACCCGGGAGGCAGAGGTTGCGGTGGGCCGAGATCAGGCCATTGCACTCCAGCCTGGGCAACAAGAGCGAAACTCCGTCTCAAAAAAAAAAATCAAAGATCACATACCAAGCCCACGTTGTGAAATTCCAACATTAGGAAGAACTTGAAAGGTCAGCTCCACCATATTTCAGCCCAGGTTGATCCTTGAATCTTCTCTCCTATATCCTATATAAACCATGCTTCCACTGAAAGCCATCTAGTGACACAAAGCTGGTCACTGCGCCCTCCTCAGATCTTTCCACAGGGAGGTTAAGTCACCATTCACCCCCGTTTGACCCCACTTAGAGGCCAAAAATGAAGCCCTCTCTCCAAAAGTCAAATAAACTGGAATCTCTTGTGCTGCTCAAATGCATTCTTACCTGCTGCTGCATCACTGAAGTGTTAGTGATTGATCCTGTGTCCTTTGAGAGGCCATGCCAGAAGGGCATGTAAGAGGACCCTAGACAAAGATTGGTCCCCACTTCATACCAGTTGACACCCTTTTATGGTTTTCCATAGAAGTCTTTTGAGCTCCCATGCAAGCAACAGGACCACTGGGCTGCAATCTGAGCACAAGGTAATGACCCTGGGGGTGTCCACAGGAGGTACCCAATATAGAAATAGGAACTTGAGGACTGGCCAAAGGTCCTGGGTTTGGACAAGGACACACTCATAGTCACCAGAAACTTGGAAGAGCTCTCAGCAATGGGTGGCACAGACCTGAGGGCAGAACCGTCAGCCCCAAGCAAAGTTGCTGGAAGGCAGACTCCATCTCCATGTAAAGATGGATTCTTGTAACAGGCAGCCCTGTCCATAGATGCCATGGAGCCCCTAAGAAGGACAAGCTCCCTGTCATGGGAAAGCATGTCATGTCAATGACCTGTGCCTCCCTGACCCTGGTTGAATAGAGAGAATCTAGACTGTCTCCGTGATCCTTCCATCCTTAATGTTCCTTGATTCTGAGACTCATTCCGTGAAAATAGATTACGATGAATCATATTGACATCTTTAAACTGGATTTATTTGTAATGTTTTGATCATTCATTGTCTTCTCCCACCTACTTCCAAAGTGGTTGGAGATGAGAAATGACTGTATGTCTTCCCGTGAAGCTAACAGCTTCAGCCAGCTCATGTCAACAAAAGCTATATTTAATAGCACAAATGCTTCACCATTTAGAACATGCAAGGAACTGTCCCCAGCCTCCTGGCCCTTAAGGTTTATGACTAAAATCCCACTGCCATCCCCCTAATCCTTCTATTTTAGAGCCACAGAATCTCAAGGCTGGGAGAAGCACACACAGCCCTTTGGGTCCACCCCACTGCCAGATGTTTTGGCCCCAATCCCCAGCCCACCCTGAGCATCCCCCAAAGCATTCATTGACTAACTGCTTCTATACCTCCAGTGATGGGGCGCTCGCCCTCTTCAAAGGAGCCTGTGCCATTCGTGGATGATGTGTTCGTTTCCTTTGGCTGTCATAACAAATTACCACAAAACAGTGGCTTACAAAACAAACAGAAATGTATTCTTTCCTAGTTGTGGAGGCCAGAGGTCCAAAATCCAGACAGACACTTGTGGTCCCTCTGAAGGCTCCAGGAGAGAATCCGTCCTTGCCTCTTCCGGCACCTGATGGTTCCAGGCATGCCTTGGCTTGTGACCGCATGACTCTAGTTTCTGCCTCTGTCTCCACATGGCCTTCTCTTCTTCTCCCCAAGGGTCTCCTTTGTGTGTCCTTTATAAGGACACTTATCATTGGATTTGGGGTCCTTCCAGATAATCCAGGATGATCTCATCTCAAGATCCTTCATTATATCTGCAAATACCCTTTTTCCAAATAAGGTCACATTCACGGTTTCCAGGAATTAAGATATGGACATATCTTTTAGAGTCACCATTCAACCCACAGATGGAGTGCTTTTCTAGAAAGTTCTTCCTAATCCTCAGCGGAAATCTTCCTCAGTGTAACTTGTGCCCATGAACCCTCATTCTACTTTTTGAGGGCCTAAGAACAAGTTACTTTGTGTTTCCTCCTGACACTCTTTAGAGATTTACAGCCAACCACCAGGTCCCCAGAGTAGCCCACATTTATTGTGGAGACCTTCACAGTGGCTTGGTGGCCCATCAGTAGCATGGCTGATAGGATCTCTGCTCACTGCAACCTCCGCCTCCTGGGTTCAAGCGATTCTCCTGCCTCAGCCTCCCAAGTAGCTAAAATTACAGGCATGCACCACCATGCCCAGCTAATTTTTATATTTTTAGTAGAGTTGGGGTTTCACCACCTTGCCCAGGCTGGTCTCAAACTCGTGACCTCAGATAATCCACCTGCCTTGGCCTCCCAAAGTGCTGGGATTACAGGTGTGAGCCACCATGCCTAGCCTGGTTCCCCATTTTAAAAGGAATTTTTTAAAAGGAATAAATCAGGCTGTGAGATAACACATTTAGAGAAAGGATAAAAGACAAGGGAGAGGAAAACAATCATGCTTGTATAAAATAAGATCAATTACAAATAGCTTTGAAATTACCTTGGTACAGAACATTTCAGTCTACAGAGTGCTTTGACATCCATCCTCCCATTTCATCCACACACAAACCCTGTGACATAGATATTATTATTATTATTATTCCCAGTCCACAGACGTTGAAAGTAAGGTCCTGAGAGGTGAAGTGACTTGCCCAGGTCACCCAGCCAACAGATGGCAGAGCAGATTCCATATCCCCTGGCCTTGTGTCCAGCCCTGCTTCTACCACACAGCGTTATGCTGCCATCGAATCTCTAAACACAGGTCCTCAGTGTGATGTTAAATGGTTCATGCAGCTGTCAGACGCCTGAAGCTGCCCTGCTGAAGCCGAAGGGAAGAGGGGCCTTTGTGAGAGAGAAGGCCTCTTGGAGGGGCTGCACTAAAGCAGAGGTCCCTGTACCAGTCAGCCATCTTGGCTCTTCCTCCTGCCCACCACACCACCATTCTGCCCTACACCCACCTGAGCTGTCCCTGCAGCCCGCCCTCCCCTTAGACCACCCATAAGGGTTAAACCCTCGACACCCTGCTTCAGATCATAGTTGGCCTCTACCCTGTCCATTTCTGTCAAGACATCTATTGGTTAGGAGTAGAGCTGCAAGTCACAGAAAAACCCAAAATAATAATGGTTGAAGAGACAGGAAATGTTCCTCTCAGGTAAACCTAGTCCAGAGGTAAGCAGTCTAGGGCTGGGGTAAGGCTCCCAGAATCTCAGTTCCTTGCATCTTGCAGCCCCCACATCATCATTACACAGGTTCCACGTCATAGCCTTGTGATCTAAGACGGATGCTGAAGCTCCACCCATCACATTCCACTCCAGCTGTTAGGAAGGAGGAAAAGCAACACCTCTTCCCTTTAAAGACACTTCCCAGAACATGTGCACACCACTTCTATTTACAGGCATTGTCCAGAAGCTAGCAATATGCCACGCCTAGCCTCTAGGGCAGCTGAAAAATGTAGTCGCTATTCTGGGTGTCTGTGTGTGCTTGGGGACAATAGAAGTCTCAGACACAAGGGATCTGCTTAGTTTAATAGAAAAAAGACTGGAGTGAATTTCTAAAAACACAGCCCATTTTTGCTACCATATTGCTGTGCGGCCTTGGGCAGACCTCTTCACCCTTCTGGATATTAGTATTCCCTAGAGAGTGAGGGAGAAAGCTGAGATCTTATCTGAAGTTCCCTTCCACTGTAGCCTTGGGCAGGTCTGTGCATGAACCAGTCATAGGGGTGCAGGAGAACTGGACAGCTGTCACATCCCCAGTCTGCATTTGCTCAGCAGGACTCAGCAGGGCCACAAGTGGGGACAGATGGTGACATCCAGAAGACCCGGCTGACAGCAAGGCCCCCGACCCTCCCTCCCTGCAGCCCACCTCCTGAGTAACCCTCCACTCCACAGCTTCTCAGAGCAGCCTGTGTGTGCCACCCCTTGGTAACGATCATCTCTCCCCTTTCTGTTCACCATTTCAGTTGTTCGGTTGTTTCTTAGCTTGGGAGACCCGCAACGTCAGCATCCCCGCACTCAACGACAGCAAGTACATCGGGATGAGTGTCTACAACGTGGGGATCATGTGCATCATCGGGGCCGCTGTCTCCTTCCTGACCCGGGACCAGCCCAATGTGCAGTTCTGCATCGTGGCTCTGGTCATCATCTTCTGCAGCACCATCACCCTCTGCCTGGTATTCGTGCCGAAGGTACAGGCGCTGGCCCCACCACCTGGCCTCTGCCCTCTGACTCCAGCACAGGGGCATTGCTGGCTTTTCTCCATTCTCTAAAAGGTTTACCCATTCCTTTTTTTTTTTATGATGAAGACAATTCACATTATAGAAAATTCAGAAAATGCACAGTAGTAAAGGCCAGGTTTTTCAGAAATTTCCCATAGTCCCACCACCCAAAAATCATCACTGGTCATGTTTTGTTGGGGTGTTCTTTACTGTTAATGTTTTTGATGTGTTTCCTTCCAGCCTTTTTCTTAATGGCTAGGAGATGATGCCTTTTTTTTTTTTCCCTCACTCTGCCACCCAGGCTGGAGTGCAGTGATGTGATCTCTCGGCTCACTGCAACCTCAACCTCCCGGAATCGAGCAATTCTCCTGCCTCAACCTACCAAGTAGCTGGGACTACAGGCTTGCACCACCACGCCTGGCTAATTTTTAAATTTTTTATAGAGACGGGGTCTCCCTATGTTGCCCAAGCTGGTCTTGGACTCCTGGGCTCAAGCGATCCTCCGGCCTTGGCCTCCCAAAGTGCTGAGATTACAGGCATGAGCCACCTCGCCCAGCCTATGGTGATACTTTTTAAGATATGGCCATAACTATAGCACACATTTTGTTCTTTGCTTAATGTTTTGTCCTTTGTATTTTCCCACATTCATAACTGTCATTGAGGGAATTTCCTTAATTTACTTGCCCACTTGATCTTATATTGGTGAGCATTGGATTTTAGAAATGAACATTTTTTCTGCATAACACAGTTTCCTTTTTTCCAATTATTCCTTTAATGTGGAATCACAGAAGTAGTATTGTTGGGTCCAAAAAAATAACTGTTTTTAGTAGCCACTTATATGTTCCATTTATTTGAAGGGCTGACC
This sequence comes from Homo sapiens, assembly GCF_000001405.40. NCBI lineage: Eukaryota > Metazoa > Chordata > Mammalia > Primates > Hominidae > Homo > Homo sapiens. The sequence goes on along the minus strand of NC_000009.12, from coordinate 98,305,225 downwards.
TTTAGGACCACCTTGAAGAGAAATTTTTCGAACATCATCCTACCTTGCAATGGGTGGGTGAGCCAGAGGCCTTTCTTCTTAGGAGTCCCTGCAGTAGGGTGATCTGTGTTGAGGGAAGCCTGACCTAAGTGAGTCTCAAAAGTAAAGGAAGGTGGCCAGGCATGGTGGCTCGTGCCTGTAATCCCAGCACTTTGGGAGACCAAGGAAGGAGGATCACTTGAGGCTAGGAGTTCAAGACCAGCCTGAGCAACATGGTGACACCCTGTCTCTACTAAAAATACAAAAAAAAAGCCAGGTGTGGTGGTACACACCTGTAGTCCTGGCTACTCAGGAGGCTGAAGTAGGAAGATCACTTGAGCCTGGAGGAGCAGAGGTTGTGGTGAGCTAAGATTGCGCCATTGCACTCTAGCCTTGGTGACAGAGTGAGACCCTTTACCCGCCCCTCCAAAAAAGGAAAGAACAGGACACAGAGTTGCAAAGCTGGGAGGGGTTACTGACCCAAGTGGGAGGCATCTGCTTCAGAGCAGGGGAGAGGAAAGATCATCTGGGTCCATTTCAGCAAACAGGCTACCCATGGTGCCTCCATCCTCCTGGACATGCAGTCAGCCCCCAGGCACTGTGAGCTCTGCACTGGAATACCTCTGGTGTACACACCTTAGTCGTCCACACCTGCCCAGCCTAAAGGGCAACACCGTGACTTCTCTGCCTGCACTCTGACATTCTTTCCATCCTGTAAAAGAGGCCAGATGATTCTCTAAGCCAAGCTTCAATTGCGGCACTCTGCTCTGTTACGCCCAATAGCTCCCCATTGTCCTCCTGGCTCTAGGATCAGGTTTCTGATGTTGGGCTGGCTCTCAGGACCCTTGGGTCTCCTCTAGTCTCCCCAGAGAACCCTGTCCACCACCCAGCCTGCCCTTCCCCTTCCATTTACCCCAGGCCTCCCTGCGTTGCCAGACACCAGTTCTTCCCTTGGAGTTCCCTTCCCCCCACCATCCCTCCAGACCGCCCTCAAAGCCCAGCAGGCCATGGCACTGTGGTAGGCTGTCCCTGATACCCGCTGGCCTGGTGAAGATTGAGTCCTTCCTTCATCCCCATCCCACGCCTCTGGACCATGAAGTCCCAATGGGCAGGGGCCATGGGTCACTCAGCTCCTGCTTTCCAGAGCTGAGCCCAGAGCCTGCTTCGACCGGAGATGTTTCTAGAATAAGCGGGTAAGGGTCAAGTGGCAACTTTTTGTTTTCTATACAAAATGTTTTGGATGTAGCTAAGCAATGCCCAGACCCCTGACTCACGGAAACTGTGAGATAATAACCATGTGTTGTTTTAAGCTGCTAAAAAACAAGCTTTTGTCAGTGACAGAGCTTGTTACTAGCCTGCTTCCAGAACTCATCAATGGTTTAACAGAGGCCTTCGCTCTCCTCTGTCTCTTTGTTGTCACAACTGTTGCCCTCGGGGCTTATTTTTTCCACAAGGAGCAAGGCCTAAGGCAGCGTGCTAGGCAGCTGGAGTGAGGCCTCGGGGGCCCTGGTTGGGATGCAGGTGGCATCAGGGTCAGGAGACTAGACTCTTAGTGACCAGGAAGGACATGGAGGCTTGGTGAGGGGAGGGGGCCTGCCCCAGGTCACACACAAGCGAGTAGCAGAGTCTGGCCTGAGCCTAGGTCTCCTGACTCCCAGCCTGTGGCTTTCCTGGGGCCTCTTATCGCCTCCAGAGCAGGATCTGCTGGGAGAGTCTGCCATGTGGGATGGGAGGAAGGACTCAAGGCTCTCTCTTCAACCCCGCCCCAACCTTTGTCCTTTCAGCTCATCACCCTGAGAACAAACCCAGATGCAGCAACGCAGAACAGGCGATTCCAGTTCACTCAGAATCAGAAGAAAGAAGATTCTAAAACGTCCACCTCGGTCACCAGTGTGAACCAAGCCAGCACATCCCGCCTGGAGGGCCTACAGTCAGAAAACCATCGCCTGCGAATGAAGATCACAGAGGTACCTCCCTCTGCATCTGGTAGCTGGGCCCTGTCTGCCACTGAAGCCCCTCTAACCCTGTGCGGGGACTCTCAGGCTCCTCTAGACCATCCCTGCAGCATGACCGTGCAGTCTCATCAGCTGCAGTTGCAGCTGCGAGAGCCAGGGGTGACATAAACCACACAGAGGCATTTGTCAGAATCCAACATGAGCTTATTGCCCACCTCACCCAGGCTCTTGGAGGCCAGCAACACCTGATTCAAGCCATCCCCAGACAGAAAGGAACTCAGGGAGATTTGTGAGCTTCTGGATTATCATAGCTTCCTACGTCAGTGTCTCTTTATCTGTGTCTCTCTCCCTCTCAGTTTTTCACTCTCCCAGCACAACCCAGCAACCACCACATCTATGTGATGTACAAGAGAAGAGAAAGTGAAAAGAAACTTTTCAAGAGAGAGTGCTGCAGCAGACCTCGCCTTTGTCCTGAGGGTTCTCAACTGGTTCTTGAATATTCCAGAGAGACCATAGCCAGATTGCCTTGTGCCCAAGCCAGGCTTGGCTTGTAGACCAGGGAAGGGAAAACAAATTACCTCCCCTCCTCTACCCCTCCCTTTGGGTTGGAGGTATGCCTGAACCCGTGCTCTGCAGGCTGTGTGTTGCTTTAATAGAGGAATTCTGATTAGGGAGGGGGACAGGAAAGGGACCAAGGAAAGTACATTGGTTACAATGCTGGCTAAACAAGGCCCCAAAATAAAGTGGCCCAGAGAAAATATGTTTATTTCCCTTTTACCTAATGGCCGTGAAAAGAGAGGGCCCGGTTGGGGCAGCTCTGCTCCCCAAGGTCATTGCTGGGCTTGGTTCCTGCCCTCTGGTTTTCCCCACTCTCCAGGGTGTTCTCTTCATTCATAGCGGGAGAGCTGGGTGGACAGCATGTCCTGTTCACAGTGTCAGGAGGGGAAGAGATAGAAAGTCCACATGAGGGATTGCCTTTTAAGCAGTAACACCAAAAATTGTGCATATTTTGGTTCTGCCCTAGTCACATCAACAAAAACTGACATGAGCACACCTAGTGAGAGGAGAGGCTGGGAAACGTCGTCTCTAGCTGGACAGCTGCAAGGAAGAAGTGAGACATAGGGTTGCCAGATTAGATATGGGATGCCCAGTTAAATTCAGACTTCAGATCAACAACCAATCATATTTTCAGTAAAAGTTTAGCCCAAGTAATACTTGAATATACTTATACTAAAAAAGAACCCATTATCTGAAACTCAAATTTGACTGGACATTCTGGATTTTTATTTGCTAGATCTGGCCGCCCTTTGGGGGGCTCACAGAATTCTGCCACAGAGAGCCACCATACAGTTGTCTGTGCACCTAAAGATGACTGCTTTAGGATGAGGTAACCCACCATCAGCTGCCAGAGCAAACTAAGAAGGGTTTCTGTCCCCCAAAGCCCATTACAGGCTCTGTTTCAATATCAGACCTCTCCTGATGAGTACGACCATGTCACTGCATTTCACTTCTACTTGCACACTTCAGCAATGAAGAGTTCAGTCACATTAGGAAACCCAGGCCACTATTTAAAACTCTTAAATGTTGTGTTATTTTTCCCGGAAATGAATCACAATCTGGCCTCCTGTTGTCCCCACCCTTTGATCCTACTCCTGCCATTTAAGTCACATAGAAAAGAGTATCTCTTTCCCTCCTCCTCCACATGAAAACGTGTTAAACAATTTCATGGCTGTGTTCCTGACATCAGAACAGCCTCTGATAGTTTATCAGGTCTCCTCCCTTATACTACAGCAGGATGCTGTTTGGAAAAATCCTCTAACCATGTTTTTCCTGTGCTCTTGCACCAACACAACAGTCAACGCAGAAGACTTCTGTGACCAAATGTGTGTGGGGTTTTCCCCACCAACGAGCAGCAGGCACCCGCTGGGTGCCTCCAGTTCAAATCCAATGCTACATATCTAGAGATAGCTTCAGATCCCACAGGTTGAGGGCTCAGTCCCCAAGGCTCCCCCTGACCCCCACCCTACCCTCAGATACCAGTCATAAGTCAGGCCTCTGGAACTTCTGACCAGCCAGCTTCAAGTTGGGACTCCCAGGATCCTGCTTTGGGTTGAATTAATTTGCTAGAGGGGCTCACGGAACCCAGGGAAACACATTTACCAGCTTATTACCAAGGACATGAATGAAGAGATGCACAGAGCGAGGACGGGTGAAGGGGTGTGGAGCTTCCCTGCCTCCCTGGGCCCCATGCTCCAGGAACCTTCACGTGTTCAGCTACCCAGAAGATCTTCATACCCTGTTCTTTTGAGTTTTTATGGAGGCTTCATTACACGAGGCATGACTGACAACTGTGTAGAAATGTGATTGGACAAAAATGCATGATCTAAACCCAGCAAGGCCTTTCTGCTCAGAATTTTCTTGGCCTCTCTGTAGCATTCCTTCCTCCAGGGTATGGGGCAAGACTTTCTCTCTGTGATAAAGGTCTTTTGACCTACATCAGATTACAGTCCTGCCTTGAGCAGGTGAGAAAGGACAGGAGAAGGTCAGAGAGAGTGATTCTGTTTCATGAGGCCCGCTCCTGAGGCCTAAAATGCCCCAACATTATAACAAAAGACTCTTACAAGAGATATAGCAGCCAGGAATCATGGATGAAAGCCATTCTATTATACAGATATGGTAATATCACAGATGTTCAACACCCATCCCGACTACCACCCCCAACAACTACCAACACTCATATTGCCCAGGCTTCTCTGGGGCTGAATTGCCCCCAGGACTTGCACCTGATTTTTGTATAACCTGGGAATGGGCCAGGTGCTGTGGCTCACACCTGTAATCCCAACGCTTTGGGAGGACAAAGTGGGAGGATCGCTCGAGCCCAGGAGTTCAAGACCGGCCTGGGCAACATAGAGAAGACTTGTCTCTAAAAATAAAAACGTGGGGATGACTGGGACCCATCCTGATTAACTCCTCTGAGTGAGACCCTGCAGGTCAGAGTCTCCATGATAGTGTGAGGCTCAGAGCTCGCGAGCCCTGCATGTCTGTCCTCCACTGTGGGTCCTATTAAGTATCAGTAATAGTAATTATAAGGCCAGGCACAGTAGTTCATGCCTGTAAACCCAGCACTTTGGGAGGCCAAAGTGGGAGGATTGCTTGAGCTCAGGAGTTCAAGACCAGCCTGAGGAACATAGAGAGACCCCATCTCTACCAAAAAAAAAAAAAATTAGCCAGACATGGTAGCATGCACGTGTAGTCCCAGCTACTCAGGAGGGTGAGACAGGAGGATTGCTTGAGCCTAGGAGATCAAGGTTGCAGTAAGCTATAATTGCACCACTGCACTCTAATCTGGGTGACAGAGTGAGACCCTGTAATAATAGTAATATTATTATAGTAGCAAGTTGCCCTTATTATGTTTCAGACACTGGGCTAAACTTTCCATGTATTATCTTGTTTGATCTGCACAACCTCCCCCTGAGGTAGGTACTATTATTACCCCATTCTACAGAAAAAGAAATTGAGACTGGGTTCTCACAAGCCAGAAGAACATCACTGCAAGTAAGGGGCAGCCTTGGGTTTGCATAAGTCCTGTCCAGAGCCTTAGCTCGTATGCTCTCCCTGCCCTTCCTCCCTGAGCTTGCTTGTCTGCTTCATCAAGGCCCAAGCCTACACTGAACACATAATTGCAAAGCCCAGGTCCCTCTTATCATAGCTTCTCCTTGAACAAAGAGCCGCCAGGATCCTTCTGCATCTCCTCACCAAAATGCAGTAACCCCTCTGATTCTCAGGGCACTCCTGAATACAGGTAAAGGCCCAGCCCTGTGAGCTACCTTTTGGCCCTAGTGGCCTAGCTGCCAGGGCTGGGCCAGGGACCTGACTCAACTGGAACCTTTGTCTTGTAGCTGGATAAAGACTTGGAAGAGGTCACCATGCAGCTGCAGGACACACCAGAAAAGACCACCTACATTAAACAGAACCACTACCAAGAGCTCAATGACATCCTCAACCTGGGAAACTTCACTGAGAGCACAGGTAAGAGAGCCAGGGCCCCAGAATGTGGTAGGGACCTTGGTTTCAAACACCAGCTGTTCATCTTCCATTTTTTAGATGAAGAAACTGAGGCTCAGACAGGGCACAGGACTGGTATGAAGTCACACACACAGAGCTGGAGCATCTGGAACCTCTGTCTGCTGACCACAGTTCAGTGTCCGCTTTGAGCCCCACCCTGCCTGGGCCTGGGTCTTCGATTTCTCATCCCTCGGCTTGCAGTTCCACACCTACACAGTGGGGCCAGCATTCCCAGTGTCCTGACTGGGGGCAGGCACATTTTATTTTCCCTTTTGTTCTTAGCGAATAGTTTACCCTTTCTTCTCTGAACGATATTTCACAGTTTCAAACACACCTCATCAATGTGCAAGAAAAGAATGGTCAGTTAGTTATGATAGAATGCTTAATCTCACCACCCACTTGGGAATTGCAAGCTACAATAACACAAACCTGCCAGGTGCAATGGCTCATGCCTGTAATCCCAGCATTTTGGGAGGCCAAGGCTAGAGAATCTCTTTGAGTCCAGGAATTTGAGATCAGCCTGGACAGCATAGCAAGACCCCATCTCTACAAAAATAAATTTAAAAAAAACCACAAACCATTTTTGCCTACCTTTTAGAAAAAAAATTTTAAAGGTTACCAGAGTTGGTAAGAGTATTTGGAAATGAGCATTCTCCTGCAATGCATTAGAAGTCAGTCTAGCACTGTCTAAATGCTCCATGTTAAACCTCTTGACCTGGCAGTTCTACTAGCAGGAACCTGCCCCTTGCAAATACTCCCAGGTGTGCAGAGATGAACACAGAGATGTTCATCACAGTGCTGTCTGTAGGTGAGAAAAACTGCAGTTAACTTAAATGTTCATTATTTGGGGGTGGTTTCATTAATTAAGATATAGCAAAACATGGCACATTTTATAGCTATTAAAAAGTGAGGTGGGTCTACTTGTGCAGATATGGAAAGATCTCCAGGTGAAAAAAGCAAGATGAAAGCCAACATTATGATTATGGGACACACAAATGCATACATGTGTGTGTGAATGCATTTTTTAAAAGGTTTAGAAAAACAAACACCAAATTGCTAACAGTATTCACTCGTGTGAAAAGAAATGGTATTGTGGAAAGTGAGTGAGAAGGGACTATTTTACATTACTTTTTTTTTTTTTTTTTTAAGATGGAGTCTCACTCTGTCACCCAGGCTGGAGTGCAGTGGCATGATTCCAGCTCACTGCAACCTTCTCACTGGAGAATTCTCACTGGAGAATTGTTCAAGCAATTCTCCTACCTCAGCCTCCTTAGTAGCTGGGATTACAGGTGCCCACCACCACACCCAGCTAATTTTTTTTTTTTTTTAGTAGAGACAGGGTTTCACCATGTTGGCCAGGCTGGTCTGGAACTCCTGACCTCAAGTGATTCGCCTGCCTCAGCCTCCCAAAGTGCTGGGATTATAGGCATGAGCCACCACGCCTGGCCACATTACCTTTTTTGTATTTCTCTATGGCTTGGATTTTTCCATTAGCATGTATTCATCAATTTGTTATAATATTATTTTAAATCAATGAAAAATCTTTATTTTATTTATTTATTTTTTATTTTTTTGAGACGGGGTTTCGCTCTTGTTGCCCAGGCTGGAGTGCAATGGCACGATCTCGGCTCACTGCAACCTCCACCTCCCAAGTTCAAGCAATTCTTCTGCCTCAGCCTCCTGAGTAGCTGGGATTACAGGTGCCTGCCACTGCACCCAGCTAATTTTTGTGTACTTTTAGTAGAGACGGGGTTTCACCATGTTGGCCAGGCTGGTCTCGAACTCCTGACCTCAGGTGATCCACCCACCTCAGCCTCCCAAAGTACTGGGATTACAGGCATAAGCCACCATGCCTGGCCTTTTATTCTGATTATATAAGTAGTAAGTGGTCTTATTACAGTAGCAATATTCTATAATTAATATTATATAACATGGTTATTGCAAAAACGTTTAAATTGAGATAACAAGGAAATTACAAGAATAAAAATTACTTCTAATAACTTTCGTATCTGGTAAAAGTGGGCATTTTAAATTTGTGGGAAAAATGAATTATTCAATAAATTTCATTGGGATAAATGGGTAGGCATCTGGAGGAGAATAAGGTAGATCCTAAACTCACACCTACACAAAAATTAATTCCAATGAATAAAATATTTAAATATAAAAAATGAAAACATGAAAGTACTAGAAGAAACCAAAGTAAAATTTTTAAAAAATAATCTCAGAGAGTGGAGGACCTGTCTCAGTTTGATGCAAAACAGAAATCACAAAAGGAAAGGTTGATAAATTTAGGTACAAAAAGAATTTCTTTCATAATGCAAAAGCCATGATAAGTACAGTCAAAAAAATCAAACAAAGCCAAAAATTAACTCAGATAACAAGCTTATGCCCTTATATATAAGGAGAAATGATGTGTAACAATACAAAAAGTATGTATAATTATATACCAATTAGTAAGAAAAAGACCAACATCTCAAAAGAAAAATGAGCAAAAGAGAGTTCTCATAAAAGGAACTGGAAATTGTTCTTACACTTATGAAAAGATGATCAATCTCATTCCTTATTAAAGGAATGCAAATTAAATCTGCAATGAGATACCATTTTTGCCTCAAAGACTGGCGAAGATCAGAGATCAAAAAGCTGCTCAGAGTGCCAGGCAACAGGTTATAAGAGAGGCATTCTCAAATGCTGCTGGTTGAAACAGAAATCATTCAGACCCAGCAATCCCACTTTTGGGATTTGTTCTCCATGCCTTAGTCTGTTTGTGCTGCTGTAACACAATACTGCAGACTTGGTAATTTATAAACAACAGAAATGTATTTCTTACAGTTCTGGAGGCTGGGGAGTCCTAAATCAAGGTGCCAGTAGGTTCAGTGTCTGAGGAGGGTCCAGCCTCCACTTCTGAGATGGCACCTGGATTGCTGCATCCTCTGGAGGGGAGGAACTCTACATCTTCATGTGGCAGAAGGAGTGGAAGGGGTAAACCCACTTTCTCAAGCCCTTTTGTAAGGGCCCTAACCTCATCCATGCGGGCTCCGCCTTCACGACTTAATTACCTCCTAAAGGCCCCACCTCTTACACTATCACATTGGTCATTCAGTTTCAACACATGAATTTGGGGGGACACATTCAGACCATAGCAGTATGGATATACAGTCGATTCTGCTGATTCACCGTAGCGGTAGTTATGTTCTTTCTGTAAAGCCTCCATCAACAGTGGATTGTGAATACTGAACCATTGCTCCTATACAGGATTAGTTCCTGGGAATCTCTCACAGGCTGACATCACAAGCTGACATTTTTGTCCACCAATCAATATATAATTTTGTTGTATGCATGTTTCTCTTTAAAGACATCTTATTTAGGCTGAGCACAGTGGCTCAAGCCTGTAATCCCAGCACTTTGGGAGGCCAAAGTGGGCGGATCACGAGGTCAAGAGATCGAGACCATCCTGGCCAACATGGTGAAACCCTGTCTCCACTGAAAATACAAAAATTAGCCGGGCATGGTAGCACGTGCCTGTAGTCCCAGCTACTTGGGAGGCTGAGGCAGGAGAATCACATGAACCTGGGAGGCGGAGGTTGCAGTGAGCCCAAGATGGCACCACGGCACTCCTCCTGGAGACAGAGTGAGACTCCGTCTCAAAAAAAAAGACATCTCATTTAATATATATGGTTTAATTAGCATTGCACTCACAGCCAACAGCACTATAGCTCATGCCTGATGGAAGCTTATCTAACTCATGTATTTTCTCTCCATAAGGCACATCACAGCCCTCTTGTGCTTAGGGACACTAGCCAGCACTTCAGCGCTGTGCTTGGGGGCCATTTTAAACAGCAAACTCACCAACACACAGCACAAAATGTGAAAAACATGTCACTAAATAACCTTCAGGAAGATACTTATTTACAATATAAAAGCTAAGCGCTAAGGCAGTGCATCACCTTGCTCAACCTCAGCTGGGAACACGTGCATCATGCAACTCACATTTTCCCACACCGTGCATGTCAGCAAATGACCACAAAAGCATTGAAATATTGATTTGGGGATTACAAATAAATTTTAGTCAGAAGAAGAGTTCGCAAATACAAAATTCATGAATAATGAGGATCAACTGTACACACGTAGGTGCAAAATGACATACATATAAGGTTGCCCACTGGAGCAAAAACAAAGACCCCTCCAGACCACATGAATCCAAATCTCGGGTGGGAACCTGATTTTTATATTTCTTTAAATCTCCTTGTATGGTCCTGAAGCACAGAGAGAGTTGAGAGAATTTGAATCACATATTTTGTGGCTACACAATATTATTTTGAATGGAGGTCCTATAACTTCTGTAACTAATCCATTATTACCAAATTCAGATGAGTTCCAACATTTTAATATTATAAATGATGCTGAGGTTGTGGCTGGGCGCAGCGGCTCACACCTGTAATCCTAGCACTTTGGGAGACTAAGGCAGTTGGATCACCTGAGGTCAGGAGTTCGAGACCACCCTGACCAATATGGTGAAACCCCATCTCTACTACAAATACAAAAAATTAGCTGGGCATGGTGGCATGCGCCTGTAGTCCTAGCTGCTTGGAGCTGACACAGGAGAATTGCTTGAACCTGGGAGGTGGAAGTTGCAGTGAGCCAAGATAATGCCACTGGTGGCACGATCTGAGTGACAGAAAAAAAAAAAAAAGATGCCGAGGTTGAACATCTTGTATATATCTTTGCACAGATCCTTAATTATTTCCTTAGGATAATTTCGAGAAGTGGAAATTCCGGGTAAAAAATAGGTCCTTTTATGGTGTTTGACACAGATCAGCAGTGCCCCCAGTAAGATTATGTCCATTTATTCTCCCACCAGCAGTTTACTGACTATTCTTTTTCTTTGCAATCTTTGCTGCTCTATGAAAAATATACCTTGGAGGTTTTTTCTTTGTCTTACATCCCTATGTGCCTGTGAAAAAGAATGTTAGAACCTCTTGTTTCTAAGTTATGTTTCCTACATTAGTCGACTTGATTTTCCCCTTTTTGTTCTTGGAAAGGAGAGCGTGGGGCATGCCACACACATCCCCAGCACATTGCTTCCATCCCTGACTGCTGGAGGCTTCTCAGCTCACCGCCTTGGTCCCGGGAGAGCCACTACACAGACCTCAGCTTAGAGAACACAGAGGGATAATGGGCTCTTTTGCATTCTGTCTCTTGGGGCATCATCCTACAAAAAGTTGCATTGTTGATTTTTAAAAACTAAGTTAACCGAACATGTTGTGGTATTGTTGTTTTGCATTCAGATGGAGGAAAGGCCATTTTAAAAAATCACCTCGATCAAAATCCCCAGCTACAGTGGAACACAACAGAGCCCTCTCGAACATGCAAAGATCCTATAGAAGATATAAACTCTCCAGAACAGTAAGTACCTTCTCCTTGAGAATTATAACTGAAGAAGAAATACGTCACTCCTGCACAAGAGTTTGCAATTTGCACGATGTTTTCACATCCATTATTTTATTTGCTTTCCACAGCCATCCCATGATGCAGTCCAATTACAGTGCTCTTTTTACAGATGAAAAACTAATATTCAAAAAGGGGAGGTGACTTGCCAAAGGTCACTCAATTGCTACATGCAGGAAGTAGGACTTGAACTCACATCTTTCCAACATCAAATCCCATGTTGTCTACCACAAGACGCTGCCTTTGTTATGTGTAAAATTTAACCTTGCTAAATGCATTTACTTAACAGTTTACTGAGACCTCCTGTATGTCAGGCATAGGTGCTAGGGTTACAGCGGTGAAGAAAACGGACTAAAATTCCTATCTTCATAGAGCTTCCATTCTATCTAGGAGGCTGATAGCTTAATTAAAAAGCAAGAAGTGGCATGTCAAACAATAGGAGCTTTGGAGGAAAAGCACAGAAGGGGGTCAGGGAGTGTCATTTTAAATAGGGTGGTCAGAGAAGACTCAATGAGATGGTGACATCAAAGCAAAGACCTGAACATCTCTGTTAGCTTTGTTCCCACAGGCAATTTTAGGCCTTCCCATCTTATAGCACATTGGAAGCAGAAGCTGGAAATACAAACTTTGAAACTTGGCCTCTGGAAGTGACAAGCAATGAGGAACCAGCAAAAGCAGCCAAATCACCAATTGCAGCATCATTTGGGGCTCTTTAGTATTAGAGCTAAGGGCCTGTCAACCCAACTAGCTCCAAGGCCTGGCCAGCTTACAGTCCAGGACAGTGAGTGAGAGTTACATGGAATTTGTCAGCAGTTTGCCTAGCAGTTGCCTCCAGTAGAGTGTAAGCACCTTGAGAGTAAGTTATGAGTCCTTCATGTGTCCCCTGCACCGAACACAGGTTCTGCCAGTGAATAGGTTCTTGACAAGCATTTGTTGAATGAATGAAAGGTGAACAGGATCCTAACAGACAGAAGAATGCTCTGACAACCACAGGACCCACCTTGCCTAGGCAGATAGCCCTGCCCTGGGTGCTTGGACAGGACACCCTTTTCCCAGGTCACAGTTTATTCTTCCCTTTTTGTCCTGGACTTCTTGCCAGCATGATCTTGCCTTAAGACACAGACTTCAGCTGACATTATACAGGTCCAACTTTAACTTCAGAATGAGATCTCCAACACTGTAGTTCCATGCACACCTGTGAGGTGTCTCTTGGGAGGAATCTTTCTGGAAAGTGTGGGCAGCACTTCGTCTGTACCCATCTATCTCAGAACCCACCAGTGACCTAAATGAACCCCAAGGGCACACCCAGTTGGGATAAGGCTGCCCCCATGAGTTGATTCGCCTCCACCACAAAACAATGTGGTTGAACAGAAGCAGCAAGAATTCCAGCTTCCCCAGTTCTGGTTTTGTTTCCATGGGGAAGTTACCTGAACTCTGTACTCTTCCCTCTTCTTTATAATGGGAATAGCAGTATTTCTTTTGCCTATTGGGTGTCTGTTAAGCTCTGGGGTTTTTGTTTTTCGCTTTTTTGCACGTGAGTGGCCAGGCACTGGGAACACAAGAAGGCATAAGAACTCAGTCCCTTCTCTCAAGGAATGCGGTGTGAAAGTTGCACCCATGGAGAACTGTGCAAGAATGCAGCTGAGCCGAGCAGAGGAGCAGTCACCTGGGCACATTTGCCGCAAGCAGCCTTTTCAACAAAGTGACATGACAGTCATTAAGACCAGAAGGGTGTGGCAATGAGAAGGGAGTCAGAGGGCAGCTCCCTTTTCCCTTGCTGCTCCTCCATCACGTGCTAACCCACACCCAGCTCCATCTTGCCTCCAGCTTTTTCTGGCTTCATTTCTGAGTATTTACCTAGGGTTCTGCTTAGCAGAGGAAGGGTTCTCCTAGCAGAGAGTGAGCACAAACAAGGTGATATTTAAACTGGATCTTGAAGGAGACACAGTTCATCATGTCAGGAAGCAGAGAAAGAGTCTTCCAGACAGGGAAACAGCAGAAGAGCACCCAGGAGCAGGGTTTCCAGGGAAACTGGCTGCCAGAGGGCAGGGCTTACAGGTGGAAAGGATGGAAGATTCACCTGGAAAATTCTGATCCAAAGATGGAACTTAGGGGGCCCCAAATATCACATCAGTGTCCCTTTTTTTCCCTTCCTTGGCTTCCTAGTGTTGGAAAGATAACACTAGTTACCAAAGAAGCTGGAAGAGCCTGTGGGAATTGGCCCAGCAAGAAGAGATGCGGTCCTGGGCAAAGCAGAGGCAGACGGGAGAGAGGAAGGATGGAGCAGGCGAGAAGTCTTTCAGGGATGAAACTGAAAGCCCTGTGGAGGTTTGCAAGAGTAGAGAATGCGAACTATCTGGTTTGCAGCAAAGCCCTGATAGAAAGGCAAAGCTTTGTCCTTAGTAATACAGACAGTCCCCAACTTACCATTTTTCAAATTTACAATGGTGTGAAAGTGATACACATTCAGTACAGTATTCAGTAAATTGCATGAGATATTTAACACTTTTTTATAAAATAGGCCTTGTGTTAGATGATATGGCCCAACTGTAAGTGTTCTGAGCACATTTAAGGTAGGCGAGGCTCAGCTAGGATATTTGGTAGGTTAGGTGGATTAAATGCATTTTTCAACTTACGATATTTTCAACTTACAATGGGTTTATGGGAATGTAACCCCATCGTAAGTCAAGGAGCATCTTTTCTGCTAGGGTATTTATAATAACCACCAAATCCTGGCCCAAAGCTCGAGAAAATTCATCTCCCTTGTTTATTCAAGTCTCCCTGGTCATTCCCAGGGCAGTAGCTGGTACATATGGGCCCTCATTAAATACCTGCTGGATTGCTGAATGGTTAGATGATTGGATGGACAGATCTTGGATTCAGAGAAAAATATGCTCCTGTCATCAGCTTTTTTAGCCAAAGCAAGTCCAAGGAACTTTCTGGTAAGCGCCCAGCTACCCTTCACTAACACTCCTCCCTCTCCTTCTCTTCAGCATCCAGCGTCGGCTGTCCCTCCAGCTCCCCATCCTCCACCACGCCTACCTCCCATCCATCGGAGGCGTGGACGCCAGCTGTGTCAGCCCCTGCGTCAGCCCCACCGCCAGCCCCCGCCACAGACATGTGCCACCCTCCTTCCGAGTCATGGTCTCGGGCCTGTAAGGGTGGGAGGCCTGGGCCCGGGGCCTCCCCCGTGACAGAACCACACTGGGCAGAGGGGTCTGCTGCAGAAACACTGTCGGCTCTGGCTGCGGAGAAGCTGGGCACCATGGCTGGCCTCTCAGGACCACTCGGATGGCACTCAGGTGGACAGGACGGGGCAGGGGGAGACTTGGCACCTGACCTCGAGCCTTATTTGTGAAGTCCTTATTTCTTCACAAAGAAGAGGAACGGAAATGGGACGTCTTCCTTAACATCTGCAAACAAGGAGGCGCTGGGATATCAAACTTGCAAAAAAAAAAAAAAAAAAAAAAAAACAAAAAAACTAGACAAGGAGAGAGGCACTAGAACTCCAGCTGGAAGTCACGGAGTGGCTCGAGCAGCCTTGGGAAGAGGCAAGGAGCTTCTGAAGAAACTGCCTCTGCACACACATCACTGGCTGTGACCCCTCAGGCTAGCCCTTCTCCACTCTGGGGGAGGAGGTGGGAAGGGCCACCAGGCCCCCAGCTGCCAGGCCAGCTGACCCCAGCCT
Source organism: Homo sapiens (assembly GCF_000001405.40). Taxonomy (NCBI): domain Eukaryota; kingdom Metazoa; phylum Chordata; class Mammalia; order Primates; family Hominidae; genus Homo; species Homo sapiens. Next base: position 98,290,054 of record NC_000009.12, on the reverse strand, counting down.
TCCTGGAACAGGGAGTCTGCAGGAGCGCAGACAGGCACAGCCCTGGAGCAGGCAGGCCGAGGGCTGCGGCACTGGAGCAGGCTGACTTACATGCTCCACATGGGACCTGTGTCACCCAATGAGATGTTTGTTACTCTGGTAAATGCCACACGTTAACACAATAACACCCATTCCTGGGACCGTGGGGATTTAGGGCACGTCACTGCAGACACGCTCTGCAGCATTCACCGACAGTCTGTCATGCACCCACCACGTTGGCCATGTCCTTGTGTTCCTATCGGATGCTCCCAGTAACCAGGGGGACCACCCGAGCTAATCATGGAATGTCTGTTCCCAGCAAACACGATAAAGAAAGATTGTGCACTTTAACCTCTCTCATCAGGGCCCAAGGGCTGGCTGGGATTTTTTTTTTTTTTTTCCCACTAACTTTGTTTCTGACCAAAGTGAATTGGAGGCACTCTGCTAAAAGACATCCCCGTAGACATAGGGGAGAGAGTTGCTGGCTGAGGGCTTCCCTTGGCTTCCAGAAGGCAGCCTTCCATCCAGACAAGCCAGTGAGCTCTCCCCTTGGGATCACTGGGGTGATCAGTCAGCAGATTGATTCTCATTCATAAGATCATTCCTCCCTTTAAATTGAGCCCCTAAGAGCACTGGCCTGGGAGTCAGACAGACCTGGGTTCAAGTCCTCAGTCCCCTGCCCACTCCCTACGTGACTTTGATCAGGTCACTAGTGTCTCTCTGAGCCTCAGTTTCCCCTCTGTAACTTGGGGTTGAACTAAAACACCTGTCCTGCCTACCTCACAAGGTCACTCTGAGGATTGAAACTTGATCTTGTCCAGGAAAGCTTTGTACCAAACAGTGAAGCCGCCCTGATCCGTGAGGTATGAGTATGACTCTGACCTTCAGCCCTCCCTACAGCCGGGGGTGTGGCCCAGAGAAGCTTCCAGCACAGCCCTCTACCCAGAACATCCGGGCTGGAGGGAGGCTCCCAGTGACTTTTCTGACATTCCTAGACAGGTTCATTCTTTGCTCAAGAAAGGCCTGAATGACAATGTCCAGGATGTCTGCACAACTGAGCAGCTCGCTCACTCCCTAAAGAAACCTATTGGCAGCTTCAACAGGCAGGCAATAATCTCTTCCCAGAACCACTGCAGTCAGGAATAAACTGTTTTCTCCACCAGGCTTTGACAAAAGGGCCCACAGGAATCTTACCAATGCCAACATTTCAAAGCACCCTATTTCACGTAGCATAGCTTTCTGCTCCCCTTCCCCAAAGAGAGGTTATGGAGGTACTGTAGCTTTTAGGGAAAAAAAAATGTTAACACATCACAGGTCAAGTTGAAGTCATTCTCTGTTTAGGCACTAAAAATCGGTGTTGTCACTCACTGTGTATTACCAGTATTTACTTGCTTTCTTGATTTCACCAAAACCAAATTTAATTTAAAGGACCACATTAATTTTTCAAAGGGAAAGAGACAATTAATTGTACATAATGTATACACACACACAAAAAAAAATACCTGTAGAAATATTATTCCAGCATAGCAGGAAAACAAACAAAAGTATTGGACTGTCGGAGGTGAGCCTGTGCGTCTGTAACCCTTTGTGACTCCTGAGCGTGCGCTGTCTTCTAGGTTAACTCACGAAGTACATTCTCTGTCTTACTGATACTGTAGGTTCACCCATTTTTTTTTAATTTCCTCGCAAATAACAAGACCCACAGAAGTGACTCTAGCTACTTAATGGTTCTGTTCTTTTATATGCAGCAAACACACCGTCCATTTCTGAAGAGGCTTCGGCCTGAAGGCATTTTCCAATGATGTTAGTGCACAAAACGCTTTAAATTAGACTGGAACTGCCAGAATCAAATGTAAATGAGGAATTTCTCGTACCCCTACTGCATGGTATCGATTTTTAATAAATTGTTGCAAATTTGTTTTTATGAATAAAAGGAAAAAACCTGTCGTCTTTAATGCCTACTCATCCCAAAATGCAGGTCAGATCGGGCCATATTCCTCCGCTTAGAAACTCAGGGGACAATTCTGGGGTTGCCTGCTCAGCATTGTCCCTTCCTTCATAAACTGCCCATCCCAGCCTCCTGCTGACAGCGGCAAAGCAGCCCTGTTACCAGGTGACCCCAACTTCTGGCCACAGCTGATTAATTCGAGGGTGGGAATTTGACCTAGGCTGGGCCGGTAAATCACTTCCTCAGGATTCCTCCATGTAGAGAAATTTAGTCTGCGATGAAACAGAAAAAAAAAAAAATGGAGCCAACAGAGAGACAATCAGGACCAACAGCTGAGTTCTGATGGTGTCTGAGTACCTGGTTAGCGGTCCCTTCCTGCGCTCCTCTGAAAGCACAGCCCTGATTTTGGGGTAAGGAAGGGGACCTATTGGAAGGGAATCTTGCTCCCACCATCCTTGCTCCCACCCCCGGACACAGTGATTGGTTCAGGAATATGCTCATTATCCAGGACCAGCCAATCAGAGCACTTCCCAGGGTTTCTGCCAGCTGTTTTCAGGAGGTTTGAAGGCACTCTGGGCCCTCCTCACCTGCTCAGTTGTTCAGGACTTCCTTGGATTCTCTGTTCTTCTGATACATTGCCCTTTTTGCCGAGGTTAGTTCAAGTTGGGTTCCCATCACTTGCAATCCCAAGATTCTTAAATAATATGGAAAACCCACAACCTCTCCAGCCCCAACTCCCCTTCGGGGCCTTGCCAGCCTGTCGAGATTTGGCCCCATGCTCCTTTCTAGCCTCATCATCCCACCCCCCGGAGCCTATGGAGCCACCCCAAAGTCTGTTTTACTTCTCCAGGGTGCTGAGCCTCAGCCGGCAGCTCCGACTAGATCCCCTTCAATGGGATCTTCTCTTCCTAGCTCTGGACTGAGGACATTCCCCCTCTCTACAGCACTGCATACATGCCCACGCTGTCCCCTCCCCATTCCGGACCCTGAGCTCCCTGACGATGGGACTCATGTCTGCTTCCATGACGTTCCACTGGGCAGCAGTTCCTCCCTGTAGCTCAGAATGGGCTTCAACGAGGCTTTTCATAATTGAACATTTTGACAGAGGCTTGTCCACACTGGTTGCTGGGTCTAGAAGGCAGAGTAAAAGCAGAGGTGGCCACAGCAGGCTGGGGAGGCCCGAGGTTCATGTGACTGGGTGCAGTCCTAGAAATGGGTGCACTGGACTCACAGACTCCACTGGAGGGCTAGTCCCAGCCTGGAGTTTTCCGGGACATGGGATCCTCAACGTGGAGGCTCCCAAGGAGCAGGCTCTCTGAATCCTGGCCCAGGAGACCCCTGCTCTGTGCCTGCTGCTCCACACCACTGCTCATACAGCCATCCTACGGGATGTGGGTTGTTCAAGGATGGGAAACAGGCCCAACATGAAGAATACGTACCCAAGGCCACCTAATAAGGCTGTGGCAAAGGCAGGAACAACCAGAATCTTAGCTGGTCTTCCTTCTCTACCTGACCCTGACTCACAGAAATTAGAGCAGAGAAAGGTGGCAGCGGTCATCTCACCCAGCCCCTCCTAGTACAGTTGGGGAAACGGAGGCCCAGCAACTGGAGCCAAGGTCAACCAGAAGGTCACGAGAGGGCCAGCATGGAACCCAGATGTCCTGGTTTTGAGACTTGGCTCTTCTCAGTCCACTTCCCACACCTGTTCTGCCATAGGTAGTACGACCACAGCGGTGAGACGCTGCCCCATAGAGCAATTTCTCAGCTACCACAGACTGAGAAATCTTTACATAGCCTCACTAAATATGGAGTCAGCCAAGACAACATTTGGTCTTTCCTCTTAGCACGTCTGAAAGAGAGAAATGACCCAAGTGTTGAAGATGCTCCTTGTCACATCACTGAAGTGATGCCTTGCTTGGCCATAAGCAGGAAAAGCCCAGACAGCAATGGTGCACTTCATTCCTCTTCATTCTTCTTCAAAAGCATTCTGTCTTCCTTTTGTTATGACTGGGTCATTTCTGAGTTAAAAATAAAAGAGTGTTTCCCAACCTCAAAGACAGGCTTTCTGGAGTTGAAGCCCTCTTAGAAAGCTCTGCCTGGGGGTCTCCTCACCCTGGGGTGTGGAGACAACACTGGGGTCCACTCTGAGGGAAGAAGGGGAGAGGTTTCTGAAAACATTAAGCCTGGGGCACCAGCCGAGGCCTGCCCTTCCAGGCAGTTTCCTGTGCTCAGCAATTTCTTCTCTACAAGGATCAGGATCCACAGGCCTAGAAGCCAGTGCCAGGGAGAGGAGGTGGTACTGGGTAGATTGCAAAAAGCAGACTGGCGGCCATCAGCACCTCTGCCTGTCCAGCAACCACATCTGCCTTCCTGCAGCTCCTCTGAAAGCACTGCCCTACTTTTGGGGGAAAGCAGAAGAGAGAAAATCTGGAGGGCCGCCCTTGCTTCCACTGCTGGACACAGGATTGGCTCAGGGATATGCTCATTAACCAAGCCCAGCCAGTCAAAGCTTTCCCCTGCCGTTTTTAAGAAGTTTGAAATCTTGCCCTCCACGTGGAGAGCAATGAAAAGAGGGAAACTGAGCTCTCATTGCATCATTTAGGCTCAAGGACCAGTGATACCTAAAAATACATCCATCCTTGAGCTTGTAGGTTTTAAACTAATACATACCCTTTTCTGCTTACATAGAGTTGGGTTTCTGTCACTTAGAACCAAAAGAAATCTGTGGGATGCAGAGGGGCTCCACGAGGGGTTCACTGTTGTCTGAAACCCTCCTGGTATTAAGGAGACATGCAGGAGATATTTCCCTGGCCTCACACACGCTGCTGAACAGGGAGGTGGGTAAGGATACCCAAAGGGAAGATGGGGCTAAGAAGCCTCAGGAGGCTAAAGAAGGGTCAAGGAGCCAGGCTGAGGGCCGGAGGGCTGGCACCAAGCTGCGTGCCCAGCACTTGTCACCTGCCTGTCCCCTACCCCCTTAGCTTGTCACCCCTTACTTAGCCTTGAGGAGCAGGGTTTGTAGGTACTGGACAGTAAATGATTAACACACTCTCTGGAAGAGAAAATTGGTCCCTCCTCTGCCTCCACCCCACATCTGAAACCCCTGGCAAATCCCAGGGGCTAACTCCATCATACTTGGTCTGCCCTGTCCGTGGTCCTGAGTGGGTCCTGCCCAGAGATGACAATTCACTGTCTGGTTCCTCCAGGTCCCACCTTCAGGAGCCCCAGACCCTCAATGGGGCATCCACCGAGCCCCTGATCTTTGCCAAGGCCTGTGCTAGGTGCCAGGTGAACAGTGAGTAGGATATAGGTCTCAAGAAGCTCACACACTAATAGGAAGACAGATGCTTAATGAAGAAATGACAATAGCCTGTGATAAGCACCTGCTCCAGAATGGACATGCCTCCTGGGGGCCATAGCCTCCAAACAGGGCTAGTTTTGGGGGTTTGCAACCTATACAGTTTTTAAAGGGCCTCATGTTCGACTTAATGCTCTGCTGTAACTATTTTGAAATTCTAAATAACTTTTGAAAAGGGGGCTTAGAATTTTATTTTATTTTTATTTTTTATTGACTTGTTTATTTTTGAGACAATGTCTCACTCTGTTGTCCAGGCTGGAGTACAGTGGCATGATCACAGCTCACTGCAGCCTTGACCTCCTGGGCTCGAGCAATCCTCCCCACTCAGCCTACGAGTAGCTGGTACTACAGGCATGCAACACCATGCCTGGCTAATTTTTTATTGTTTAGAGAGATGAGATCTCTCTAAAAAATAAAATATTTAAAAAAATTTATGTTGCCCAGGCTGGTCCCGATCACCTGGGCTCAAGCAGTCCTCCCACCTCAGCATCCCAAAGTGCTGGCATTACAGGCACGAACCACTGTACGCGGCCCAGGGCTTAGCACTTTAATTTCATACTGGAGCCCACAAATTATGTAGCCAGTCCTATACCTAGACCTGAAAATGAGTAAAAGCTAGCCAGCAAAAGAGAGAAAGAAGAGGAGGGGAGAGGGAGAGAACTAGCAGCCCAATTCTGTAGAATGCATGCACCTGCAGGGGCTGCTGTGGCTGCACCAAGGACAACTAAGTTGTTGTGTGTTAATCACCTGTCATGGAATCCATGTGACTTCAGACTGCTGCGTGATCAGACAGCACGCATCCTGTCTATGTGTGATGATGTGAGTTACATCTGAAAAATCATCAGGCCTGGGTGCACATTTGTACACCTTCACTTACCTGGCTGCATGGCTTTGAATGATTCCACCTCTCTGAGCTTCTGATCCCTCATCTGTAAAATGGACATGATACCTCGCTCAGAGCTTCTCTGACAGTCAAAGAGGCTCATGTAGGGGAAAGTGCCTTGTGAACACTAAGCTTATATTTGTGCTACTCCCAGACAGGAGGAATGTAAAATGAGCAGCTTTAGTAGGTACAATGGGGCAGCCAACAGCCTAGTCTCCTCACAACAGACTGCATCTAGGAAGAATGTCATTAGGGAAAACATCCTGACATGCTGTGTTAGGGGCAAGGTGAGATTCTAAAGACAAGGCTAAAAGAGAGACAGCAGAACAATTCTGTTAGAAAAAGAACTAGAAGTTTGGGGTTAGAAGGAGAGAAAAATGAAAGGAGTGGGTGATAAATAACAGGACAGTGTGGCTAAAAAGCTTTTAAGAATAGGGATGTCAGCCAGGTGCGGTGGCTCATGCCTGTAACCCCAGCACTTTGGGAGGCTGAGGCGGGTGAATCACCTGAGGTCAGGAGTTCGCAACTAGCCTGGCGAACATGATGAAACCCCGTATCTACTAAAAATACAAAAAATTAGCCAGGCATGGTGGCACACGCCTGTAACCCCAGCTACTCAGGAGGCTGAGGTATGAGAATCACTTGAACCTGGGAGGTGGAGGTTGCAGTGAGTCGAGATTGCACCATTGCACTCCAGCCTGGGCAACAAGAGCAAAATTCCTTTTCAAAAAAAAAAGAATAGGGATGTTGAATATTTGATTTTAAGTCATTTGTGTTGCATGAAGTAAAAGCCTCTGTCTTCCCTTTATTTCACTCCCTCCTGCAAAATGTCCCTAAACCTTTGGTTACATTTACTATACAAGTAAAAGCTTTGTGAGTTTTAGTGGAAATAAAGAAAAACAGCAAATTCTATGTTTAGGTAGAGACCAGAGTAAGGATAAAAGAAGCAGCAGCCACAAGATGCAGAGGGAAAAATATGTTCTCTGGCCAAGCGCGGTGGCTCACACCTGTAATCCCAGCACTTTGGGAGGCCAAGGCGGGTGGATCACTTGAGGTCAGAAGTATGAGACCAGCCTGGCCAACATGGTGAAACCCCATCTCTACAAAAATGCAAAAATTAGCTGGGCATGGTGGCACGCACCTGTAGTCCCAGCAACTCTGGAGGCTGATGCAGGAGGATCACTTGAACCCGGGAGACGGAGGTTGCAGTGAGCCAGGATTGCACCACTGCACTCCAGCCTGGGCAACAGAGTATACATATATATACATATATACGACATATATGACGTATATATGTGTATACTATGTTATATATAATGTATATATGTTAGATATATGTTATATAATGTATATATGTTATATATTATATATGATAAATATGATATGTTTCATATATTTTATATATATATATACTCTTTGCATCAGTGGGAATTTGGAGCAAGAGGTGACCATGAGCCCATAAGCTCTCCCAAAATTCACAGAAGCATTGAAGAAGCACTGGTCTTTTCCAGAGCCAAGTATGGAGGGAATAGAAAGTTAGGATTAATCACATCTAGATCTCACAGGGCATAGTCACCCTTACTTTCCATCTAAGTTACATAAGCAATAGGAAACATGTCATCCCATAGAGCCATAAATCTCAAACATCCTGAATACAACAGTAGAAATACTAGAAAATAAGACCAGCAATAAAATGGTCAACTGGATGGCAAAACAATCTCCACACTCAAAGCTTTAGGAATGACATGACATAGGAGAAGCTGCCAGCCTGGAGGCTCTGGCAGTGTTGAAGTGCTATTAGCTCGGCCATCTTTGTTCTCCAAGGTTGTGGCTGTTCTTGGCTACCCTAGTCCACCACGTCTGTAACTGGAGAAGTCTGGTACTATTGTGAAGTTAGGGTTTTTGTGAGAGAGAAGATACATCTGATTTCTCTCCATCTGAATTCCAATGGAAAAGACCCAAAACAGTGTTTCTCAAACATGAAAAAAAAATAGAGAGGGCCAGGCATGGTGGCTCACACCTGCAATCCCAGCACTCTGGGAGGCCCAGGAGGGAGGATTTCTTGAGGCCAGGAGTTCAAGACCAGCATGGGAACACAGTGAGACTGTCTCTACAAAAAAACATTTTTAATTATCTGGGCTTGGTGGCATGCCTGTAGTCCTAGCTACTTGGGAGGCAGAGGTAGGAAGATTGCTTGAGCCCAGGAGTTCAAGGTTGCAGTAAGTTATGATTGTGCCCCTGTACTGCAGCCTGGGCCACAAAGTGAGACCAGGTCAAAAGAAAGAAGGAAGTAAGGAAAAAAAGAAAGAGAGAAGGAAGAGAGACAGGAAGGAAGGAAAGAGGAAGGAAGGAAGGGAAGGAGAGAGAGAGAAAGAAAGGAAGGAAAGAAAAAAGGAAAGAAAGAAGGAAGGAAGGAAAAGAAAGAGAAGAAAGAAAAGAGACATATGGACACCTTTTTAGTGTTGAGTTAAATTGTTTTTATAAAGAAAGTTACTGCAGTGAGCTCTGATTGCACCACTACACTCCAGCTTGAGCAAAAGAGTGAGACCCTGTTGAAAGAAAGCGGAAAGAGAGAGAGACATATGGACACCTTTTCAAACTGTGTTGACTTAAATTATGAAATGTGCTCAAACCAGATATAAGCTTAGGCTTACAGCATTCATATAAAATCCAAACAAAATAGCAAAGCCAATAAAAATCATGTTAACAACATGGATGGAATGGGATAGATGAGGTTTTGCCGAAAAATAAGTGGCAGCTCACCACACGAGCACAGCTCTGACTGCTGCCGGGCATGTTCCTGTGACTTCAGCCAGCCTGGTGTGATGGCTCAATTATCACACTGCTTTTCTTTATTTAAACTTCTGTGAAAACTTCATTTATTCAGCATGCTGCAATATCACTGGGCTGTCCCTGGACTCTAACATATCACTTCCCTATTAAGGCCACCTTTGTTTGTTTTCTCTCATGAGCCATTGACAATAGTGGGGCCATCTGATAATACACACAATTGGAGTCGTGATTGAGTGCAGATGCCCATTAAGCCCCAGGCTAAGTGCTTTGCAAGCATAATCTCATTTAGCTCTCACAGGGACCCCAGCGCAGAACCGATCATTACCACCCTTCTGCAGCTAAAGGCACTCAGGCACAGCGGGTGAGTGCTGTCCTGGGTCACACAGCTGGGATGTGGAGTGAGTCACAATTTGAACACAGCAGCCCGATCCAGAGTAGACCACCTTTACCACTTCTTTAAACCCTAGTCACAATTAGCCGGATTCAGATGACCCAGGATATGCTTTTTTTAAAGATTATCTTGAAATAAAAATCCCTCTTGTTTTCAGTTTATAGAAGATTTGCAGACCCCCAAGATTCACCAAGGGCATCATCTGAGGCTCTAGGCCCCAGTCTGAGAGCCTCTGGCCCAGGCAATGTGACCATGAGCAAGCCAGTGGCTCAGAGCAACGCTGGGAGATACACTCCAGGCCCCTGGGCTCCTCAGGTTGACTCATAAACCAGCCCCTGGGAGATTCTGGGCCTCAGGGACACCTGGTTTTGAGGGCAAGGGAGCCTGGGGGAGCAGGGGCAGCTCCATGTTGAGCAACAGTGACAGTGGCAATGATGATGGCAGTACCAGAGCTCCTGGGCGGCTATGACAACAGACACCTGCCATGGCTGTGGTGGCCACAGCTCTGAAGGCACCAGCCCCTCGATGGGAGTGGAGGTGGAGGTGGGGAGTTGGTCAAAACTAACTGAAGAGGTAGGGCGACCTCCACATCAGGAAGGATGCCGATTCACTCAGGGCTAGAGGCTGGCAGCTCTGCCACAGCAGAGAAGAACCTATGCAGACACAAAATCCTATGCCCAAGTTGCCCATTGACTAGATGCCCCCATCCCAGATCTTCACCCTGGGCCACTCAACCAGGCCTCCAGGATCTAGCAGAAGGACTCTGCCAGCATCTCAGGGCAGGGGAGGCAAGATGGAAGGTGTTCACCCCATCTGCAAAGAAAAGCCAGTTCTGAGTTTTTTCTGTGAAATAAGAGATTACAGACAAACGACGAGAAAATGGACTGAGAAGAAAAAAGGGAAGAAAGTGGGGAGGGAAGAAAGGAGGAGGGAGGGAGGGAAAGTTTTGAGATTGGAGTAGTGTCAGAAACCTGCACATTCAACTCCTCTCTCTTTAATTCTTGCTACAATGGCCCAACCAATCAGAGCAAATCCATATCCTCTTCCATAAAGATTATTCTATCTAGATGGTCTCTGAAAATTAGAGAAAGTGTCCCACGCACATCTCTAAAAGCTCAAGTCATTTCCACCGCTCAGGTAAAGGGTGGAGGGAGGAGAAGCAGCTGCAGGCCACCATCTTCTCACTAAGCGTGGAGAAGACCACCTGGGGTTAATTCAAACTCAGTAGTGCAAAAGCCAAGTAGTCTTGGATTTGATTTTAGAGCTTCCATTCTGAGTTCAAAGGACCTTCAGATGTGGGCCGGTATCTCCATGCAGGAGCTGCTGGAAGTCATAATTTCACAGGACTTCTGCAGAACCAGCGCTCCAGCATCCACTTTCTCTCACAAGTCACCCCCACCACAGGGAAGAAGAGGAGGCAAGTGAGAGCAGAATTCATGAGCAGCAGCCATCTCTTCTCATCCCATGGGGGAGCCGGGAAGGCTTAAATAAGTTCCCCTCCCTCCATAAGATCGGGGGTAGCTTAAGTATTCCTCCAGACCCTTTCCCCTTCACCAAGTAAGGGACTGGCAATGCCTTTCATCTGAAAACTTCAGCGCCATTGAACTGCCCAATGCCCAGGCCAGTGTTGCTGGCAGGTCGAGAGAGGGCTGAGCGGAAGAGAGGAAGACTAGGGTAGCCAGTGGCATTCCCACAGGGTGGCTTGGCAAGGAGATGTGGGTTTTCCATGGGTTGTGTGGGCACTGAGGAAGGTTGGGAGAATTTCATCATCCTAAGAGGCTGAGGAAAAAAGTAGATGGATGAAGTTCAGTCAGAACTTGCTCACCAGAGGATTGTGTCAGAAGGACCCACTGGAAAGCCAGCACTCAGACACCTGCCTGGCAGAGGAACAGACAGCCAGATAGGAACAAAAGAAGTGATGCCAGCAGAAAGAAGACTGTAACCTCACGCAAGGAGTCACAGAAAGCAGTGTTCTGATACCTCTCCCCTCTCTTGCCTCCTTTCCCTGATATCTCAGAGAAAATAGAGAATGGGAGAGCAAACCTCATCACCTCCCTCCCTGCCCCAAGTCACAGAAACCTCAAGTGCCTGCCTGGGAAGAGTGCACTTTTTTTTTTTTTTTAAACATCCAGAGACTCTTTACTTTTTGTGGCTTTATTGAGATAGAATCCACATACCACACAATTCACCCTTGTAAAGGGTGCAATTCAGCCAGGCATGGTGGCTCACACCTATAATCCCAATGCTTTGGGAGGCCAAGACAGGAGGATCCCTTGAGCCCAGGAGTTTGAGACCAGCCTGGACAGCATAAGGGGACTCCATCTCTACACAAAATTTAAAAATTAGCCCGGCGTGGGGGATGCACGCCTGTAGTCCCAGCTACTCAGGAAGCTGAGGCAGGAGGATCACTTGAGCCCAGGAGTTTGAGGTTATAGTGAGCATGATTTTGCCACTACAACAGACTGAGATCCTAAAAAAATAAAATAAAATGAATTAAAGTATACAATTCAAATTTTTTAGTATATTCACAGATTCATACAATCATCTCCACAATCTAACTTTGGAACATTTTCATCACTCCAAGAAGAGTTAGCTGACAGTCCCTATTTCTCCCCAAGTTCCCCCAGCCTAAGCAACCACGAAATCTACTTTCTGTCTCTGTAAGTTTGGACATTTCACATAAATGGAACTTGCAATATGTGGTTCTTTGTGATGGGCTTCTTTTACTTAAGATAATGGGTTCAAAATTCATGTGTTATCAATATGAATGCAAGATAATGCATTCATATTGCAGCATGGATCAGGACTGCCTCAACTTTTATTGCCGAATATAGTCTATAGTATGTGTATACATTTTACTTTATGCAATTATTATCCATGTTATCAGTTAGCAAACATTTGAGTTGTTTCTACTTTTGGACTATTATGAATAATGATATTATGAACACTCAAGTTTTTGTGTGGACATAATGTCTTTGTTTTTCTTGGGGATATAACTAGGAGTGGAATTGCTGGGTTGTATGGTAACTCTAGTTTTAACTGTTTGAGGAACTGCCAGATTTTTCCACTGCAGCTACAACATTTTACATTCTCATCAGCATGTATGAGGGTTCCAATTTCTCCTTATGCTTACCAACATTTGTTATTATCTATTTTTAAAAAAAAATTCATAGCCATCCTGGTAGATGTGAAGTATCTCATTGTGGTTTTCGTTTGCATTTCCCTGATGGCTAAAGATATTGAGCATCTTTTCATGTACTTATTGGCCATTGACATATCTTCTTTGCAAAAATGTCTGTTCAGAGCCTTTGCCTTTTATTTATTTATTTCTGGAACGGGGCCTCACTTTGTCGCCCAGGCTGGAATGCAGTGGTGTGATAACAACGGCTCACTGCACCCTAGAATTCCTGGGGCTTAAAGGAATCCTCCCACTTCAAATTCCCGAGTAGCTAGGACTGCAAGCGCAAGCCACCACTCCCTAATTTTTTTAGTTTTGTAGAGACAGAGCCTCCCTATGTTGCCCAGCTAGTCTCCAATTCCTGGGTTCCAAGCAATCCTCCCACCTCAGCCTCCCAACGTGCTGGGATTATAGGCATGAGCCACTGCACCCGGCGCCATTTTTAAGTTGAATAATTTGAATTCTTCCTATTGAGATGTAAGAGTTTGTTATGTATTCTAGATACAAGTTTCTTATTTGATCCACGATTTGCAAATATTTTCTTCCATTCAATGGGTTATCTTTTCATGTTATTGAGGGTGTTCTTTAAAGCATAAAAGTTTTTAATTTTGATGAAGTCTTACTTTTTTCTTTTATTGCTTATGCTTTTGCTGTCATATCTAAGCTCAAATCACAAATACTTCTGTTTTTCTTCTGAAAGTTTTTTAGTTTTAGCTCTTACATTTACAATCCATTTGAGTTAATTTTTGGGTAAGGTATGCGTAAGGAGTGCAACTTCATTCTTCTGCATGTGGGTAGCCAATTATCCTAGCACCATTAATTGAAAAGATAATTCTTTCCTCCACTGAATTGTCTTAGCATCCTTGTGGAAAATCAATTGACTATAAATGCAAGGGTTTATTTCTGGATTCTTAGTTCTATTCCATTGATCTAGATGTCTATCATTTTGTCCAGTGATTCTTAGTAACTGAACATGAAGGGAGAAGCCTGAGATATTATTAAGGGAAGCTACAAGTGGGAAAGAAGGTTCCACAGAGTCCAACTGGTCACTGGGAAAAAGTCCATCATTTCGCATTTGTGCCTCAAAGAGTTAAGACTCCTCCAACCACTTCTAGTGAAGGAACATTCCCAACCCGTATCATGTCTGCTTTTCCAAATGGGGTACATGGAATGATCCATTTCCCTTAGCTGCTATCATAAATGAGTGTTGCATTTTCATAAACTATTTTTCAGCACTGATTGTGATTATTCTCTTTTAATCTGTTAATCTGGTGAATTACATTATTAGATTTGCTAATAGTAGATATATTTGATGCTTACATTTCTAGGGTAAACCTAACTAGGTCATTTTTTATTTAATACATTACTAAAGTATGCCATTATTTTGTTTAGGATTTTTGCATCTAAAATCATGAATAAATTTGATGCTTTATTTTTTCTTTTTCATTCTGGCTTTGGAATCAAGGTCATCACTAGCCTCGTAAAATGATTTGAGGGGATGTTGCCTCTTTTTCTAATCTCTGAAAGGGTTTGTATAAAATTAGAATTGTCAGTTTGTTTGTTTTTAATTGAGATGGGGTCTCACTATGTTGCCCAAGTTGGTCTTGAACTCCTGGCCTCAAACGATCCTCCTGTCCCGGCTTCCCAAAATGCTGGGATTACAGGTGTGAGCCACCATGCCTGGCCTAGAGTTGTCAGTTCTTTGAACGTTTAGCAGAATTGTTTTGTAGGTTGATTTTAATCTACTAATTCAGTTTCTTCAACTGTTACAGATTTGGTTTTCTTTTTCTGTGCAAGTGAGTTTTATAAGTTTTATTTTCCTAGAAACATGTCTATTTCATGGAAGCTTTCAAACTATTAGCATAAAGTTGTTTGTAGTACTTATTTTTTTAATCTGTTGCATTTGTAATTATGTCCCTTTTTCATACGTTATATTGCTATGCATCCTTTTTCTGACTTAACTAAAGTTACAAGGTTGTATTTTATTCTTCTATTGAAAAAATACAAGTTTGGGTTTGGTTGAGCATCTCTACTGTGTTTTTCTATATGATTTCATTAATGTGTGCTCTTATCTTTATTATCTTCTTGTACTTTGTTTTCTTTGCTACTTAAATTATGGTCATTTGTTTGTGGGCATGACATCATTATCTATTAAAATATAAGTGGGTATGTTAGTCCATTCTGTCAGGCCTGTGCGCCCAAGCTAAGGCATCATATCCCCTGTGACCTGCACATATACATCCAGATGGCCTGAAGTAACTGAAGAATCACAAAAGAAGTGAAAATGGCCTGCTCCTGCCTTAACTGATGACATTACCTTGTGAAATTCCTTCTCCTGGCTCATCCTGGCTCAAAAGCTCCCCAACTGAGCACCTTGTGTCCCCCGCCCCTGCCCGCCAGAGAACAACCCCCTTTGACTGTAATTTCCACTACCTACCCAAATCCTATAAAACGGCCCCACCCCTATCTCCCTTCACTGACTCTCTTTTCGGACTCAGCCCGCCTGCACCCAGGTAATTAAAAAGCTTTATTGCTCACACAAAGCCTGTTTGGTGGTCTCTTCACACGGATGCGCGTGAAACATTCCTGCTGCTATAACAAAATATCTTAGACTGGGTAATTATGATTAACAAAAATTTATTCCCCACAGTTCTGGAGGCTGGGAAGTCAGTCCACTGATGAAGGCCCTTTCAGTGTCAAGGGAGGATTTGCCCTCTGCTTCCAAAATGGTGCCTTATTGGTGAGTCCTTACGTAGCAGATGGCAGAAGAACAAAAGGGACTGGGTGCCCTCTTCAACCTCTTCTGTAAGAGCGCTAATCCCATTCATGAGGGCAGTGTGCTCATGATTAATCACTTCCCCAAAGGCTCCATCTCTTAATACTATCACATTGGGTATTGTTTCCAATGTAATGAATTGCGGAGGGACACATACATTCAAATCATAGCAGTGGGCATTCTCTTAGGCCCAACGATTCCACTTTAGTTCTATATTCTATATTAATATTAGAAAATATCTAAAAAGATATATGTATAATGTTGGAGGTCAGTTGCAGTGACTTATGCCTGTAATCCCAGAACTTTAGGAGGCCGAGGGAGGAGGATTGCTTGAGTCCAGAAGTTCAAGACAAGACCAGCCTGGGCAACATAGTGAGACCTCGGCTATTTTTTTTTTTTTAAAGATGGGCTTTGCAACATTATTTATAACTAGAAACAATTAGAAATAACCTGAATGTGAAGATACAGTCATACTATGTGTCAGGCCTCTGAGCCCAAGCTAAGCCATCATATCCCCTGTGACCTGCACGTACACATCCAGATGGCCGGTTCCTGCCTTAACTGATGACATTCCACCACAAAAGAAGTGAAAATGGCCTATTCCTGCCTTAACTGATGACATTGTCTTGTGAAATTCCTTCTCCTGGCTCATCCTGGCTCAAAAGCTCCCCCACTGAGTACCTTGTGACCTCCACTCCTGCCCGCCAGAGTACAACCCCCCTTTGACTGTAATTTTACTTTACCTACCCAAATATTATAAAACGGCCCCACCCCATCTCCCTGCACTGACTCTTTTCGGACTCAGCCCGCCTGCACCCAGGTGAAATAAACAGCTTTATTGCTCACACAAAGCCTGTTTGGTGGTCTCTTCACACGGAAGCGAGTGAAACTATGGAATACCGTTCAGCTGTTAAAAGGAATAAGGCAAATCTAATATCTATTGACTTGAAAAGAGCTCCATGAGATAATATTAAGGGGGAGGGGGTGCAATGAAGAAAAATAGGTAAAGAATGACAATATTTTTGTTTTAAAAATTGCATATGGTCACATATTTATATCCCTATATGTAGTCCCACTGGATGCAGTCATAGCCATTTAGCCCTAAGGAGCCACTGCTAATTCCATCCAGAGGTAAGATCCTTCAAAGCTGGGGAAGCCTCATCTCCAAGCATATAGGTGCTCCCTACCTCCATAGACAGCCTCCAACCATAACCTCAGGGCATCACTTCCACCCCTTACAAGTCCTAAGACTGGTTTAGGTGAGAAGTTCTGAGAGGACAGGGTGGGGAGAGGGGTTGGGGGCTCTGCAGGCCTTGGGAACCATAATGACATTCCCAACCCACGTCTTCTCCCACCCTTTCAAGGTCATTGGTTGTGAGTTATTCATACTTCTCCCTTCCTCAGGGAGGCTTGATTCTGCCCAACCTTCCTTGTGCTCCCCAAAAGTGCCTGACACCCATTGCTGGCTTCCCAGACAGCCAATCTGATTGACTTCTTCCTCTTCCCGGGGGGGCTTCTGTATCTCTTTGTGGCCCTCAGAGTATCCGAGGTCCCAGGTTAAACACAAATGCAGCATCTGTAAAAAACCCCATGCGTCAGCTTGAAGCAAATGCCTTTCCCAGTAAAATTGTTCTACTTTTCCACATAGCTTTGCAAGAGTGATATTTTTCCTCTCCCCATTCCCTAATTACCCCAAAATATGTGCCAAAGGGGGAAGACGTGACTTGGCAGGGCAGATGTCCCCATTGCTTAGCATCTCAGAGAAGAAATTTACAAGATGTCTGCCTTTGTTTGCCCTGCCATCACACCTCCAGTTCTGACCATGAGGTTTCTGAAGGAGCACTTCTAGAGGTGAGGAACTGGATAGTGACAAGTTGAAGCCTAGAAACTATGTCATGGGCGACACAGTTTAAGGAAGACTTGGGGGTAGTGGGAAAGTATGGCATGACAACTGTTAATTACTTCCTAGGGAAGCCATCATATATAAAACAGGCTGTCTGGCCAGGCGCGGTGGCTCACGCCTGTAATCCCAGCACTTTGGGAGGCCTAGACGGGCTGCTCACGAGGTCAGAAGTTTGAGACCAGCCTGACCAACATGGTGAAACCCTGTCTCTAACAAAAATACAAAAATTAGCCAGGTGTGGTGGTGCATGCCTGTAATCCCAGTTACTCAGGAGGCTGAGGCAGGAGAATTGCTTGAACCTGGGAGACGGAGGTTGTAGTGAGCCAAGGTCGTGCCACTGCACTCCAGGCTGGGTGGCAGAGCAAGACTTCATCTCAAAAAAATAAAACAGGCTGTTTTACTCTTCAGTTCTCCAAAGGATCAAAGGAGGACAAACTGCAGCAAATTCCAAACAGACAACATCAACTCAGTAAACATAACCATTTACATAATAGAATGCAGAGCCTGGTGAAGAAGGGACCAGCCCATCACAGGAAGTGTTCCAACAGGGATACTGGAGAGGGAATGCCTGCAGCGGGTGAGAGGTTGAAATGGATAGGCCCAAAGACCCATGTTGCAGAGGTTGCAAATTGATGACACGCATGTCATTTGAAGGAAACAGATGTTTATACTAGTTCAATGTTTGCCTACAAAGTGTTTTTGTGCTTCTTCTTAGTATTATCATTATATAAATAAAACCTGCATTTCAAGGTTCTCTTGTAAAACGTAACAGAGCTGAGAGCCTCCTTTATATGGGATATGTTCTTCAGTTCACACAGCCTCCGCCACCGCCTATTAATACCCAGCGTCCAAGTATCAATTGACATTTGTTATTCTGCCTGCACTGTAGAGCTTTTTTTTCCCTTACACTCAGCCCACTTAACTCATACATATTATTACCTGTATTCTCTGTGTAGGCATTTGAGTGAGTGGCTTTTGTTGCATTCTGGGGTGTCAACCTTCATTTGAAATAGTGATACAGAGCAGTGTTCACACTTCTCCCTCTCGCCCTGTGCCTTCTGTCATTGTGATCTGCCCTGAGATTTGTAGCACGTGTGAACAGCACAGGAGGTCAACAAAAGGCACAGCTCTGCAGCAAGAGCCCCAGGAACTCAACAGAAATGAGCAACGCAGCTCCTTGAGCTTGCCATTGGCAGATCATGAAGCCACACCACCTCTTCTGGCCAATGGCCATTATACATTTTGAAAGGGACATTATTTCTTGTTGAAGGAACATTACTATCTAGTTGACTCCTATCTAAGAGAGCACAGTCTCCTGTTACTTAATGAAACCAGCAACAGGCAGAATATGCACCAGACAGAAAAACTAGCTTGTCTGCTGTTCTGGAATAAAAATAGAGTTTGAACTAGCCTGGAATAAAAATAAGAGTTTGAACCACAACCTGAATCAAAGGAATGTTGGGAGTTTCCTATTAGCTCAAAGCAAAGGTTCCTAGAATTCATAATAATATTGTTAAAATGGTCTGTTCCTAACTTAACTGATGATATTATCTTGTGGAATTCCTTCTCCTGGCTCATCCTGGCTCAAAAACTCCCCTACTGAGCACCTTGTGACCCTCATTCCTGCCCGCCAGAGAACAACCCCCCTTTTTTCCTTTACCTACCCAAATCCTATAAAACGGCCCACCCCTATCTCCCTTCGCTGGCTCTCTTTTCGGACTCAGCCCACCTGCACCCAGGTGAAATAAACAGCCTTGTTGCTCACACAAAGCCTGTTTGGTGGTCTCTTCACACAGACACACATGAAATTTGGTGCCATGACTCGGATCGGGGGACCTCCCTTGGGATATCAATCCCCTGTCCCCCCTTGAGAAAGATCCACCTATGACCTTGGGTCCTCAGACCGACCAGCCCAAGGAACATCTCACCAATTTCAAATACAGTAAGCGGCCTGTTTTTACTTTCTTCTCCAACCTCTCTCACGATCCCTCAACCTCTTTCTCCTTTCAATCTTGGTGCCACACTTCAATCTCCCTTCTCTTAATTTCAATTCCTTTCATTTTCTGGTAGAGACAAAGGAGACACATTTTATCCGTGGACCCAAAACTCCAGCACCGGTCACGGACTCAGGAAGGCAGCCTTCCCTTGGTGTTTAATCATTGCAAGGACAGCTCTCTGATTATTCACCCACGTTCCACTGGTGTCTGATCTCTGCGGGGACACCTGCCTTGATCATTCACCCACATTCCCTTGGTGGCGAGTCAATTGCGGGGACACCTGCCTTGATCATTCACCCACATTCCCTTGGTGGCAAGTCAATTGCGGGGACGCCTGCCTTGATCATTCACCCACATTCCCTTGGTGGCGAGTCAATTGCGGGGACGCCTGCTTTGGCTGCTCGCCCACATTGCAGCCCAGGGCTGTTCCCCACCCCCTTCTCCGTGTCTCTACCCTTCTCTTTAAACTTGCCTCCTTCACTATAGGCAACCTTCCACCCTCCATTCCTCCTTCTTCTCCCTTAGCCTGTGTTCTTAAGAACTTAAAACCTCTTCAACTCTCGCCTGACCTAAAATCTAAGCATCTTATTTTCTTCTGCAACACCGCTTGGCCCCAATAGAAACTTGACAATGGCTCCAAATAGCCAGAAAACAGCACTTTTGATTTTTCCATCCTACAAGATCGAGATGATTCTTGTCATAAAATGGGCAAATGGTCTGAGGTGCCTGACGTCCAGGCATTCTTTTACACACTGTTCCCTCCCTTCTCTCTGTTCCCAATGCGACTCGTCCCAAATCCTCCTTCTTTCCCTCCCGCCTGTCCTCTCAGTCCCAACCCCAAGCATCGCTGAGTCTTTCTAATCTTCCTTTTCTACAGACCCATCTGACCTCTCCCCTCTTCCCCAGGCTGCTCCTCGCCAGGCCGAGCCAGGTCTCAATTCTTCCTCGGCCTCTGCTCCCACACCCTATAATCCTTTTATCACCTCCCCTCCTCACACCCGGTCTGGCTTACAGTTTCATTCTGTGACTAGCCCGCCCCAACCTTCCCAGCAATTTCCTCTTAAAAAGGTGGCTGGAGCTAAAGGCACAGTCAAGGTTAATGCTCCTTTTTCTTTATCCGACCTCTCTCAAATCAGTTAGCATTCAGGCTTTTTCATCAAATATGAAAAATCCAGCCCAGTTCATGGCTCGTTCGGCAGCAACCCTGAGACGCTTTACAGCCCTAGACCCTAAAAGGTCAAAAGGCCGTCTTATTCTCAATATACATTTTATTACCCAATCCGCTCCTGACATTAAATAAAACTCCAAAAATTAAATTCCAGCCCTCAAACCCCACAACAGGACTTAATTAACCTCGCCTTTAAGGTGTACAATAATAAAGTAGAGGCAGCCAAGTAGCAACATATTTCTGAGTTGCAATTCCTTGCCTCCACTGTGAGACAAACCCCAGCCACATCTCCAGCACACAAGAACTTCCAAACACCTAAACCGCAGTGGCCAGAGTTTCCTTCAGAACCTCCTCCCCCAGGAGCTTGCTACAAGTGCCGGAAATCTGGCCACTAGGCCAAGGAATGCCCACAGCCCGGGATTCCTCCTAAGCCGTGTCCCATCTGTGCAGGACCCAACTGAAAATCGGACTGTTCAACTCACCTGGCAGCCACTCTCAGGGCCCCTAGAACTCTGGCCCAAGGCTCTCTGACTCCTTCCCAGATCTTCTCAGCTTAGCAGCTGAAGACTGACACTGCCAGATCGCCTCAAAAGCCTACAGGACCATCACAGACGCTCTGGGTAACTCTCACAGTGGAGGGTAAGTCTGTCCCCTTCTTAATCAATACAGAGGCAACCCACTCCACATTACCTTCTTTTCAAAGGCTTGTTTCCCTTGCCTCCGTAACTATTGCAGGTACTGACGGCCAGGCTTCTAAACCTCTTAAAACTCCTCAACTCTGGTGCCAACTTAGACAATACTCTTTTAAGCACTCCTTTTTAGTTATCCCCACCTGCCCTGTTCCCTTATTAGGCCGAGACACTTTAACTAAATTTAAATTATCTGCTTCCCTGACTATTCCTGGGCTACAGCCACACCTCATTGCTGCCTTTTCCCCCAGTTCAAAGCCTCCTTCACATCCTCCCCTTGTATCTCCCCACCTTAGCCCACAAGTATAGGACACCTCTACTCCCTCCTTGGCGACCGATCATGCACCCCTTACCATCCCATTAAAACCTAATCACCCTTATCCCGCTCAATGCCAATATCCCATCCCTTAGCACGCTTTAAAAGGATTAAAGTCTTATCAATCGCCTGCTACAGCATGGCCTTTTAAAGCCTATAAACTCCCCTTACAATTCCCCCATTTTACCTGTCCTAAAACCAGGCAAGGCTTACAGGTTAGTTCAGGATCTGCGTCTTATCAACCAAATTGTTTTGCCTATCCACCCCGTGGTGCCAAACCCATATACTCTCCTATGCTCAATACCTCCCTCCACAACCCATTATTCTGTTCTGGATCTCAAACATGCTTTCTTTACTATTCCTTTGCACCCTTCATCCCAGCCTCTCTTCACTTTCACTTGGACTGACCCTGACACCCATCAGGCTCAGCAAATCACCTGTGCTGTACTGCCGCAAAGCTTCACAGATAGCCCCCATTACTTCAGTCAAGCCCAAATTTCTTCCTCATCTGTTACCTATCTCGGCATAATTCTCATAAAAACACACGTGCTCTCCCTGCCGATCGTGTCCGACTGATCTCTTAAACCCCAGCACCTTCTACAAAACAACTCCTTTCCTTCCTAGGCATGGTTGGATACTTTTGACTTTAGATACCTGGTTTTGCCATCCTAACAAAACCATTATGTAAACTCACAAAAGGAAACCTAGCTGACCCCATAGATCCTAAATCCTTTCCCCACTCCTTTCTGTTCCCTGAAGACAACTTTAGAGACTGCCCCTACCCTAGATCTCCCTGAATGATCCCAACCCTTTTCATTACCCACAGCTGGAGTGCAGGGCTGTGCAGTCAGAATTCTTACACAAGAACCGGGACCGCGCCCTGTAGCCTTTTTATCCAAACAATTTGACCTTACTGTTTTGCCTAGCCCTCAAGTCTGCGTGCTGCGGCCGCCACCGCCCTAATACTTTTAGAGGCCCTTAAAATCACAAACTATGCTCAACTCACTCTCTACAGTTCTCATAACTTCCAAAATCTATTTTCTTCCTCCCACCTGACACATATACTTTCTGCTCCCCGGCTCCTTCAGCTGTACTCACTCTTTGTTGAGTCTCCCACAATTACCATTGTTCCTGGCCCAGATTTAATCCGGCCTCCCACATTATTCCTGATACCACACCTGACCCCCATGACTGTATCTCTCTGATCCACCTGACATTCACCCCATTTCCCCATATTTCCTTCTTTCCTGTTCCTCACCCTGATCACACTTGGTTTATTGATGGCAGTTCCATCAGGCCTAATCGCCACACACCAGCAAAGGCAGGCTGTGCTATAGTACAAGCCACTAGCCTGCCTCTTAGAACCTCTCATTTCCTTTCCATCGTGGAAATCTATCCTCAAGGAAATCACTTCTCAGTGTTCCGTCTGCTATTCTACAACTTCTCAGGGATTATTCAGGCCCCCTCCCTTCCCTACACATCAAGCTTAGAGATTTGCCCCCACCCAGGACTGGCAAATTGACTTTGCTCAACATGCCCTGAGTCAGGAAACTAAAATACCTCTTGGTCTAGGTAGACACTTTCACTGGATAGGTAGAGGCCTTTCCCACAGGGTCTAAGAAGACCACCACGGTCATTTCTTCCCTTCTGTCAGATATAATTCCTTGGTTTGGCCTTCCCACCTCTATACAGTCCGATAGCAGACTGGCCTTTATTAGTCAAATCAGCCAAGCATTTTTTTTCAGGCTCTTGGTATTCAGTGAAACCTTTATAATCCTTACAGTCCTCAGTCTTCAGGAAAGGTAGAATGGACTAATGGTCTTTTAAAAACACACCTCAGGCCGGGCGCGGTGGCTCACGCCTGTAATCCCAGCACTTTGGGAGGCCGAGGCGGGCGGATCACGAGGTCAGGAGATCGAGACCATCCCGGCTAAAACGGTGAAACCCCGTCTCTACTAAAAATACAAAAAATTAGCCGGGCGTAGTGGCGGGCGCCTGTAGTCCCAGCTACTTGGGAGGCTGAGGCAGGAGAATGGCATGAACCCGGGAGGCGGAGCTTGCAGTGAGCCGAGATCCCGCCACTGCACTCCAGCCTGGGCGACAGAGCGAGACTCCGTCTCAAAAAAAAAAAAAAAAAAAAAAAAAAAAAAAAAAAAAAAAACACACCTCACCAAGCTCAGCCACCAACTTAAAAAGGACTGGACAATACTTTTACCACTTTCCCCTCTCAGAATTCAGGCCTGTCCTCAGAATGCTACAAGGTACAGCCCATTTA
Organism: Homo sapiens; assembly: GCF_000001405.40. Taxonomy (NCBI): domain Eukaryota; kingdom Metazoa; phylum Chordata; class Mammalia; order Primates; family Hominidae; genus Homo; species Homo sapiens. The sequence continues at coordinate 98,266,361 of NC_000009.12, read as the reverse complement.
AGTTCCTGTATAGACGCTCCTTTTTATTAGGCCCCAGTCTCATTCCAGACACCAGACCAACTTGGACTGTGCCCCAAAAAACTTGTCATCCCTACTATCTCCTGTCTAGTCATACTCCTATTCACCGTTCTCAACTACTCATACATGCCCTGCTCTTGTTTACACTGTTTCTCCAAGCCATCACAGCTGATATCTCCTGGTGCTATCCCCAAACTGCCAGTCTTAACTCTTAAAGTAAATAAATAATCTTTGCTGGCAGGACTATGCTGAATCTCCTTAGGCACTCTCTAATTAGATGTCTTAGGTCCTCCCAATTCTTAGACCTTTAATACTTGTCTTTCTCCTTCTCTTATTCCATTTAGCTTTTCAATTCATACAAAACCATATCCAGACCATCACCAATAATTCTAAATGACAAATGTTTCTTCTAACAACCCCACAATATCATCCCTTACCACAAAATCTTCCTTCAGCTTAATCTCTCCCGCTTTAGGTTCCTACACCTCCCCTAATCCCGCTCAAAGCAGCCCTGAGAAACATCGCCCATTGTCTCTCCATAACACCCCCAAAAATTTTCACCGTCCCAACATTCTACCACTATTTCATTTTATTTTTCTTATTAATATATGAAGACAGGAATGTCAGGCCTCTGAGCCCAAGCTAAGCCATCATATCCCATGACCTGCACGTACACATCCAGATGGCCGGTTCCTGCCTTAACTGATGACATTCCACCACAAAAGAAGTGAAAATGGCCTGTTCCTGCCTTAACTGATGACATTATCTTGTGAAATTCCTTCTCCTGGCTCATCCTGGCTCAAAAGCTCCCCTACTGAGCACCTTGTGACCCCCACTCCTGCCCGCCAGAGAACAACCCCCCTTTTTTCCTTTACCTACCCAAATCCTTTAAAACGGCCCCACCCCTATCTCCCTTCGCTGGCTGACTCTCTTTTCAGACTCAGCCCACCTGCACCCAGGTGAAATAAACAGCCCTGTTGCTCACACAAAGCCTGTTTGGTATGGTGGTCTCTTCACACGGACGCACATGAAAGTTAGTAGCTGACATCTGTTAAATGCTTCTTGTGCTAAACACTTGACACATTTTGTCTCACATAGTCACATAACAACACTATGGGATAGGTGCCATAATTATACAAAGAAACTCAGGCACAGAGAGGTTAACTCTAAGTTAACCTTGAGTGATGGAGTGAGTGATGGAGCCAGAATTCAAATCCAGGTGACCTGACCCAGAAACATTAGAAAATATACGAAAATACTGCCAAGATTTGATATCTAATATCCCATGGAACTTTCTTTTCTCTACCCATTAAATGACTTTGCTACATTTCTTGCCAAGCATACCAAGAACATAAAACACAGAAGTCTAGTTTTTCTTTTCTCTTGGTTATAAATTTATAAAAATCAAACTAAAAATAGCCCCCATGTTGTTTCATTCTTAAAATATACAATAACTTTAAAAGAAAGTTTCTCTGGAACTGAAGTTCCTTCTGCAGAATCTGTTTCACATTCAGAATTTCAGATGGAATATAAAATAGGAGAATGTTCAATGTCTGCAGTGTCGGGTATTTTGCTCAAGTTTCTGTACCTAAAATGCTGTGCTTGGCATGCGGAACTGAATTTCCATTATGTTCAGTGAAGCAAGATTTGACTGATGGAGAGGTCATTATTACAATGATCCTGCCAGGTAGCTTGGGGAGACCATTTTGGCCTCTGAGATCATGTTATATTATCAGGTATTCATGCAAAACCAAACCTTCTTTCTATTTCCTCTAGTTTCCAATAATCACTGTCTGAATCAATATTTATAGAAAAACTATCAGTGAGAAATCTCATTTGCAAATGACTTATAGTTTTAAGTGAACCTAATTTCTTTAAAACATATGTATTTGAAAATCCTGTGTCAAATAAACATAAATAATGCTAATAATTAATGATATTATTCAAAAAATAGATATGTGAGGAAGTATATATTTTCCTAAAAAGAAAGCTTAAAATTTTTAACACATTTTTAATAAAACTGTATAACCACATTCCTGTAAGTTATTCCTTCATTACTAAAAGAACTAAAATTATCCCATTGTAAGAGAAGAAAACATTTTGACATGGAAGACAACTCGAAATAGTTTGAAGTATAATGCTTTATTAGTGCATGTAATAAACTTATACTGAACACAAATACATGATTTTGCTGATAGAAAATCAGTTTCTCATGCCTTCACTAAATGAATGGGTTAGACAAACATTTAAAATATACTGAATTTAAGGGTGTCAAATTAGTAACCTGACTGTTTTGGGTAGACAGGGAGTAGTGCTTTGTGCCTTTTTTAAGCCCTTGACAAGAGTTTGAGAACACCAAGTACTGTGTCCCGGAGGGCAGGTCCCACAAAGGCCGCAAGATGTCGCTTTCTGACAGCCTGTTGCTTGCAGCTAATCCTACCACAGCAGAAGGCAAAGAGGGTGAGGAGGGGTGTTGACCATATTTTGATGTAATAACCAGAAGTGCATCTGTTAGGATATACAACAATTGATGCACCTAGATCAACAGAGATTCCCTTATAATATCCCTAAACTTAAAACGTAGATCTTTTTTCTTCTTCATTTTCTTTTTTCCCTGGAGCAACCCTGAGTATGTTGGTGTTGGTGCAGATGTGGGATACCGAACTAAAATTTTTCCATCATTACGTTCAGTCTTCACAGACATCTGGCAGGATGCCCTGAGGAGTATTATAATCCCTATTTTACAGATGAGAAAGCCAAGGCCCCTAAAAATTGCAATTGGCAAATGAAAATTCCAGTGGCCACGTTTCTTGACACCCAACACCCCAGCTGAGGTTTATGCACTCTGGCCCTCTCCCCAGTCCTCATAGGGAGGTGGTTGGGGGCAGGCTTTGACTATTTTGCTTTTTGGAAATTGATTTAAAATATTTTATACTAAATTGTCTGATATGAACCCATATTTATTTATGTGTATAGAGCAAGGCTTCAGATAAATTTCGTGGGTGCTCTAAGCCACTTTGGGCTATGTCTGGAATGAGTTTCCTAAGGAAGCTCACTCCATTGTTTAGGGTGTGTATTAGTTTGCTAGGGTTGCCATAACAAGGAACAGATTGGGTGGCTCAAACAACAGAAATGTATTCTCTCACACTTTGGGAGGCTAGAAGTCCAAGATCAAGATGTCAGCAGAGTTGATTTCTTCTGAAGCCCCCCTCCTTGCTTTGTAGATGTGTCTTCACATGGGCTTTCTTCTGTGTGTCTGTGTCCTAATCTCTTCTTATAAGGACTCTAATCATAAATAAATAATTTATGGACAGAATCTTGCTCTGTCGCCCAGGCTGGAGTGCAGTGGCATGATCTTGGCTCACGGTAGCCTCCGCCTCCCGGGTTCAGGCAATTCTCCTGCTTCAGCCACCCAAGTAGCTGGGATTACAGGAGTGTGCCACCCAGCTAATTTTTGTGTTTTTAGTTGAGATGCGGTTTCACCATATTGGCCAGGCTGGTCTCAAACTCCTAAACTCAAGTGATCCGCCCACCTCCGCCTCTTAAAGTACTGGGATTACAGGCGTGAGCCACCATGCCCGGCCTCAGGCTTTAACAAATGAATTTAGAGGGACACGATTCCCCCTGTAACAGGGTGGAAACATTGAGAAGCCTGCATTATCCCTTCCAACTTTTTCCTGTGAGAATGATAGAGTTCTAGTCTGTGTCCTTATATCTACAGCATCAGAGAGTTTAACATGTGTCTTTCTTTCTCTAAGAAAGCTTCCCAGTTAATCTGCTATTTGTGTGTGACTTCTTGCTTGCATTTTATGGAAGTGGAGCTGGGAGAAATGATTTCTGATCCCCATTCTTGAGGTAAGGAATTATATTCAACTTTAAAACAACTTAAATACAGGAACAGATGTATACTTATAAGTACATTTTTTTCCTTAAAAAAGAAGGAAATCCTGCCTATTTGGGACAACATGGATGAACCTAGAGGACATTATGCTAAGTGAAATGAGCCAGACACAGAAGGGCAAATGTTGTGTGATACCAGTTATGTGAGGAATCTAAAATAGTTGGACTCAGAGGAGCAGAGTAGAATGGTGGTTGCTGGGGGCTGCGGGGAGGGAGAACATGGGGAGGTGTTGGTCAAAGGATATAGTTTCAGTTATGTGGGATGAACAAGTCCTAGAGATCCACTGCACAGCATGGTGTCTAGAGTTCACAATACCATGGCGTATACTTAAAAATGTGCTGAGAGTAGATCTCATATTAAGTATCATCATGAAATAGCGATAATAATTAATAGTAACAGGAAACTTTTGGAGGTGATGTATATGTTAATGGCATTAATTGTGGTGATGGTTTCACAATTATATACTTATCTCCAAATTCATTACATACTTAAATATGTACAAATTTCTGTATATCAATCCCACCTCAATAAATTTAAAAAAAGAAAAAATAAAAAGAAACTCTGGACGAGGGATGGTGGCTCACACCTGTAATCCCAGCACTTTGGGAGGCCAAGGTATGTGGATCACTTGAGGTCTGGAGTTTGAGGCCAGCCTGGTTAACATAGTAAAACCCTGTCTCTACTAAAAATACAATTAGCCAGGTGTGGTGGCAGGTGCCTGTAATCCAAGTTACTTGGGAGGGTGAGGCAAGAGAATTGCTTGAACCTGGGAGGCAGAGGTTGCAGTGAGCCGACATCATGCCACTGCACTCCAGCCTGGGTGACAGAGTGAGACTCTGTATCCAAAAAAAAAAGAAAGAAAGAAAAGAAAAGAAACTGGCTGGGCACAGTGGCTCACATCTGTAATCCCAGCACTTTGGGAGGGTGAGGTCGGAGGATCACTTGAGCCCAGGAGTTCGAGACCAGCATGGGCAACATGGCAAAACCCTATCTCTACTAAAAATACAAAATTTAGCCAGGCGTGGTGGCAGGTGCCTGTAGTCCTAGCTACTCAGGAAGCTGAAGTGGGAGGATCACCTGAGCCTGGGAGGTCAAGGCTGTGGTGAACCATGATCATGCCACTGCACTCCAGACTGGTGACAGAGTGAGACCCTGTCTCAAAAAAATTAAATAAATAAAATAAAATAAACTTTGTACCCATTAAACAGTAATTCCCCATTCCTCCCTCCCCCAGCCTCTGGTAACCTCTATTATACTTTCTGTTTCTATGAGTTTGCCTCCTAGGTACTGCATCCATGTTGTAGCATGTGTCAGAATCTCATTATTTATAAGACTGAGTAATATCCCATTGCATATATCCTACAGTTTCACTTTATATATGTAATTATCTAATTTACCTAAACTCTATTTTGATAAATAGTGCTATGGTGTAAATGTTGGCGTCCCACTCAAAATTCATATGTTGGAACCTAAAACCCAATGTGATAGTATTAAGAGGTAGAGTCTGTAGCAGGTGATTAGGCCTTGAGAGTGGAGTGCTGATGAATGAGATTAGTGCCTTAGTAAACGAGGCTTGAGGGAGTCTGTTTGCCCGTTCCACTGCGTGAGGAGGCAGCAAGTAGGCGCCATCTTTGAAGCAGAGAGCAGTCCTCACCAGACACTGAATCTGCTGGCACCTGGACCTTACACTTCCCAGCCTCCAGAACTGTGAGCAGAGGTTTCTGTTGCTTACAGAATACCCAGCCTAATGTGTTTTGTTATAGCAGGCTGAATAGACTAAGACAGATGCTATAAGATTAATATATAAACTTAACTGAATACGTATATTTTTGTTTTTCAGAACTTTGTACTTGGCTCTATTGATGTGCCTGTCCATGTGCCAAAAACACCGAATTCTGTTGCTCCTGTAATACTATTCACTTTCTTTCTAGCACGTAGGAGACTCTGGAGGTTACTATGTTCATTTACTTCTTTACCTGCCTATTACCCACCTCCTTTGACTAAAATGAAAGCTCAATGTGAGCCGTGACCTTGTCCCACTCATGACTTATCCCTAACATTTTAAATGGTGACTGATGGAAAGTGCTTACTCAATACTTGTTGGCCAAATTACTAAATGTAAATGTCTGGTAGGTTAAATCCTTTCTAGTTGTCCTTTCTCTCCAAAATGTTGGCAACTCTCACTTGTTTACTTCTGAAAAAGTAAAACTTAAAGCTGGGCACAGTGGCTCAGGCCTGTAATCCCAACACTTTGGGAGGTCGAAGCAGGAGGATCATGTAAGCCCAGGAGTTTGAGACCAGCCCGGGCAACATAGTGAGACTGCCATCTCTACCAAAAAAAAAAAAATTTTTTTTTTTAATTAGCCAGATGAGGTGGCATGTGCCTGTAGTCCTGGCTACTCGGGAGGCTGAGGTAGGAGGACTGCTTGAGTTCAGAAGGTCAAGGTTGCAGTGAGCTGTGATGATTGCACCACTGCACTTCAGCCTACCTGGGCAACAGAGCAAGACCCTGTCTCAAAAAAAAAAAAAAAAAAAAATGGAAAAGAAAGGGAAGGGGGAAAGACAGGAAGGAAAAAAAGAGTATGTAAGAATCATTTTAATAGGCTGCAAAAATTCCTATCAACCCCTCCAGGAGGTGGAGCTACTTATAAGGGGGGACTGAATTTAGCAACCCAATTCCAAAGAACAGTGTGTTGAAATGAAAAGGAGCAGCTTTATAGCAGAGAAATCTGGCAGACCCTACCTTATCCAAGTGATTAACTTTTCTTGTTATTAAAACCACCACTCCCGGCCTTAACATCCTTTTAAAATGAGAAAATTTAGGCCGGGCATGGTGGCTGATGCCTGTAATCCCAACACTTCGGGAGGCCGAGGTGGGTGGATCACCTGAGGTCAGGAGTTCGAGACCAACCTGGCCAACATGGTGAAACGCTGTCTCTACTAAAAATACAAAAAATTAGCCGGGTGTGGTGGCGAGCACCTGTAACCCCAGCTACTTGGGAAGCTGAGGCAGGAGAACCGCTTGAACCCGGGAGGCGGAGGCTACAGTGAGCCGAGATTGTGTCACTGTACTCCAGCCTGGGCAAGAAAGCAAGACTCTGTCTCAAAAAAATAAATAAAATAAAATGAGAAAATTTAAGCTACACAACTTAACAGTATAGGAACCATGCAGATATCATGTACTCTGATGTTGTGATGAGACGGGCACCTCACCTCTGTGGTAGTCTTCCCCAAAACATAACCTCAGTGAAATCATGAGACAAACCCAAAGTGATTGTATTCTACAAAACACCTGACTAGTATTCTTCAAACTGTCAGGACCATGAAAAACAAGGAAAAACAGAAATACGTCACAATGCAGAGGAGACTAAGGGAAAATGATGACTAACTATGGCATCTTGAATGGGATCTTGGAATAGAAAAAGGCTATTGGTACAAAACAGACAAAATCCAAATAAAGACTGTAGTTTTGTCAATAGTTTTTTTTTTTTTTTTTGAGAGGGAGTCTCGCTCTGTTGCCCAGGCTGGAGTGCAGTGGCACGATCTTGGCTTACTGCAAGCTCCGTCCCTGGGTTCACGCCATTCTCCTGCCTCAGCCTCCCGAGTAGCTGGGAATATAGGCGCCCACCACTACGCCCGGCTAATTTTTTGTATATTTAGTAGAGACGGGGTTTCACCATGTTAGCCAGGATGGTCTCGATTTCCTGACCTCGTGATCCACCCACCTCGGCCTCCCAAAGTGCTGGGATTACAGGCGTGAGCAACCGCACCCGGCCTTGTCAATAGTTTTGTACCAATGTTAGATGTTTATTTTTGCCAAACATACCAGGATTAAGCAAAATGTTAACATTAGGGGAAACTGGGTGTAGGGTCTACAGAAATTCTCCCATTGTCTCTGTAACTTTTTCTAAAACTATTCAAAAATAAAAAGTTTTTTTAAAGCCTATCGAGGCCAGGCATGGTGGCTCACACCTGTGATCCTAGCACTTTGGGAGGCTGAAGTGGATGGATCACTTGAGGTCAGGAATTCAAGACCAGCCTGGCCAACATGGTGAAACCCCATCGCTACTGAAAATACAAAAATTAGCTGAGCATGGTGCCCTGCCTGTGGTCCCAGCTACTAGGGAGGCTGAGGCAGGAGAATAGCTTAAACCCAGGAGGCAGAGGTTGCAGTGAGCCGATACCGCTCCAGTGCACTCCAGCCTGGGTGACAGAGCAAGACTCTGTCTCAAAAAAAAAAAAAAAAAAAAAGCCTATCGAGAGTTTGATTGAAAATGTATTAACTGTATGGATTAATTTGAGGAATGTGACATCTTTACAATATTAACTCTTCCCACTCAGGGACATATTTGGTTTGTCTTATATCCTACTATAAAGCAATAAGGTATTCATTATGTAAGTCATTTATGTAAGGGATGTTGTCCATTATATTTTCCATTTGTTTGCTGCTGGAGACATCTATACACATATGCACAGTTTTTTAAAACAGGCCACCACTTGAGTTTTTCTGGTATACGTAATATATTTATAATTATTCTTTCAAATATTTATCATTGCCTAGCTACAAAACCTAGAACAAATAAGGTATGCTGTTTGTTTTATTAAGAGGTTTTAAAAATCAGGAATGGGGCCAGGCACTGTGGCTCATGCCTGTAATCCCAGCACTTTGGGAGGCCAAGGCCGGTGGATCACAAGGTCAGGAGATCCAGACCATCCTAGCCAACATGGTGAAACCCCGTCTCAACTAAAAATACAAAAATTAGCTGGGTATGGTGACGCGTGTATGTAATCCCAGCTACTCGGGAGGCTGAGGCAGGAGAATGGGAATTGGAGAGCATGCCACTGCACTCCAGCTTGGGCGACAGAGCGAGACTCTGTATCAAAAAAAAAAAAAAAAAAAAAAATTAAAAAAAAAGAAAAGAAAAGAAACTGGCTGGGTGCGGTGGCAGGAGAATCGCTTGAATCCGGGAGGCGGAGGTCACGGTGAGCCGAGATCGCGCCATTGCACTCCAGCCTGCGCAACAAGAGCGAAACTCTGTCTCGAAAAGAAAAGAAATATTTTGTCCCACATTCTGTACTAAGAGCTTCACACATATTATTTTATTTAATTATCAAAACAACTCTAAGGGTAGACAGGTGTAGATCCAGGTTTTGTGGGGACTGGAATTAAACAGCATTAAGGGCCTTCTGATTTTTAAAAAATTACAAAATTATGAACACAAAATTAGGTATGACGATGGTTATTTAGAATGAGAAAATAAATTGTAAATTATAACAAATGAAGAGCTCTCTGGCATTTAGGAGAAATGCTCCCTGGTTGCAACTCCCCACCTGTTAGACTACAAATCCCAGCGACCCATGCAAGTGAACATAAATTTCATTAGCTTCACCGTAAAGTTGTCTGGCGGCGGGTCGGGGGTGGGTAGGAAGAAGTGTTATCTCCATTTTTAGGTTGAGCAAATCACTCAGTATTGCAGAGTGGGAATCTGAAAATTATGCAAATAGACTCTAGAGCCCTCGCCTTTACCCCCACCCTGCTTCTTGTCAATATCACTGAGTGTGCATGAGGGTCTCGTTAACGACGGCTGAGGGGGAGACGATGAAGTAAGAGGAAAGGCTGAACAAAGGGCAAGAGAAAGGCAGAAAGAAGCTCCTAAAGAAAGCTGGACGCAATTGGGCTCCGCAACCCTAATGGAGAAATGCGCCTTAGGAGGGAAGGGGAGAAGTTTAAGGGGAAACAGGTAAAATGAGGCAGAAGTTGAGCAAGTTAGTCAAACCCTAAATTCTTTTACTTATTTACAAAACAGCCTGGCGCGGTGGCTCTCGCCTGTAATTCCAGCACTTTAGGAGGCCGAGGCAGGAGAATCGCTTGAGGCCAGGAGTTCAAGACCCCCCTCTCTGCAAAAAACAATTTAAAAATTAGCCGGGTGTGGTGGTGCGCAGTTGCGGTCTCAGCTACTCGGGAGACTGAGGCGGGAGGATGGCTTGAGACCGGGAGGCGGAGACTGCAGTGAGCTCTGATCGCGCCACTGCACTCCAGCCTGGGTGACAGAGCCAGACCGTCTCTAAAAATAATAATAGCAATAACAAAATAAAAATAAATGTACTGCACCCAACTATGACCCAGGAGTGGCATGGGTTTCCGCAGCGCAGCGGCCGCGCCTGGGCGCCCCAAGCAACACAACCAGCGCTGTCAGGAGGCGAATAGGAGCCAGGACAGAGAGCTGGGGAGGCCACTGCTGTCAGGCGAGGGATAAGAAGGCCGTCCGCGGCGTCACTGACGGGGCTGAAGGAACACCAGGAGAAGAGTGGCAGACAGCTCCGGAGCCGCGCTGCCCGGGCGACGCCGGAAGATGGGCCTCCCAGCGGTCTTCCTTTCAGCCAATGGCCGCGAGATGCGCCGTCCGAGGGTGCCCCGCGCGGCACAGGGAGGGAACAAGCAGCCCATCGGGTGCAAGAAAGCACTATCTTTCTAGGTGACTATGCGAACTACCAGGGAAGTGTAGCTAGGGACAGGCTTCTCTGCCCGCGGTTAACCTAACTCAGTGCCACCACGCCTTTAACCTGAAGCCAGGGAGCACGGCTGCCCTCAGTAAAGATGGCTGACTGGCGCGGAGAAAAAGCCGGAAGCAGCTGGGCTTTGCAGGGAGCCGACTGAGCGCTGCGGGGGCGTGGCCTGGCGGTGGAGGGGCGTGGCCAGCCGCCGTAACCTGGGTTTGCGATCTTTGAGGCGCGCGCACCGCACCCGGTCCCGACTCTGTGGCTTCCTGGGGGCGGGTTCGCCGTCGGCCCCGCCCCCGCCCAGGTGTCTCCCTTTGGGAAGCTGCCCGCCGAGTCTCCGAGATTTGTCCCTGGTGGTCCCGCGGACCCCTCGTCCCTCCGCAGTCTCCGGCTGGCAGCGATGGAGGGCGCTGGGGAGAACGCCCCGGAGTCCAGCTCCTCTGCCCCTGGGTCCGAAGAGTCTGCCAGGGATCCACAGGTGCCGCCTCCGGAGGAAGAATCGGGGGACTGCGCCCGGTCCCTGGAGGCGGTCCCCAAGAAACTCTGTGGGTATTTAAGTAAGTTCGGCGGCAAAGGGCCCATCCGGGGCTGGAAATCCCGCTGGTTCTTCTACGACGAAAGGAAATGTCAGCTGTATTACTCGCGGACCGCTCAGGATGCCAATCCCTTGGACAGCATCGACCTCTCCAGTGCAGTGTTTGACTGTAAGGCGGACGCTGAGGAGGGGATCTTCGAAATCAAGACTCCCAGCCGGGTTATTACCCTGAAGGTAAATTCCTGCAACGACTTTCTCCTTTCCAGCGGCGTGAGGTCCCCTTTTCGCAGGGCAAGGCTGGGCGCGAGTGTGAGGTGGACACAGTAAATTTGGAGTGTCGGTGACGACAGTTCCAAGAACTTTGTGCTTTGCAAAGTGCATTCCCACCCATTTCCTCATTGGGTTCCCACAAGGCAGGGAAGACAGACCCATTTTACGGATCAAGAAACTGAGTCAGAGGGAGATGAAAGGACTGGCTCGAGGTCCATGCGTCTAGAGAGTAGGGTAGCTTGGAATCCCATAGTCTTTCTACCTCTCAGTGCTGAATCAAAACTTTTACTTTTGGGTGTGCCTGACAGTGCAGTTACCTTAACTTTCTTACCTGGGACCTAAGTAAGTCAAAATATGGTCTTTGCAATCCTCTCTCAAGGCCAGGATTCTGATTCCCGTTTCTTGATATTTTGGCCAAGGTCAGTGAATGCTGAGAAGAGACTGGCAGGGATTAGGAAAATAAACACTTAGGTTTCACTGATCAGCCTAGATTGTTCATCTAGGCATGCTTAAACCTGTTTTCCTATCAGCAGCAAGGGGTAGGTTTTATCATCATGTGTAACTGAGAAAGCCTAAAGCAGTAGAAAGGCCACATTCTTTGAAATCAGACGGGCTTGGATTCAAATTGTACATTTGCTACTTACTAGCTGTGTGACCCTGGACAAGTTACTTAACCTCTCAGAACCTAGGTGGTTTGTAAGCATTTGACACATCACAGGCATGTACAAATTGTTGAATTAATTGCATCACCTAGAATACAGCCTGGTACCTAGTGGAGTACTTAATAATTTTTTGTTGCATAAGCACACATGCACACACAAGGTGATGGAACCAAGGTCAGAGTGCTAATGTCAAGAGGAGGTGTCCCATAACTTAATTGGAAAGACAGATCTGGGCTAAGTGTTCTATGGGCATCAGAGAAGAATGTGCCAGGAGATAGCCTTCCCCACCCCATCCCCATCTGTCCACCCCTCCAACCCCAACTCCAGCTAAGTGGGTATCTGTGGATGCCCACGTGTTCAGTTCTCCTTTACTGACTGGACTTGGCGGGTGACCAGGCTGGGGGACTTGGTTAAAATAATGAAACTCAGGAATCCCTGGCCAGGGAAGGCATTTTCGAGGTCATGTGGTTCCCGGGTCTATGTGTCTCTTCCACAGGTTGACTGCTGTATGCAGGGTCTTCAACACATGGTCTTTATAATAGTATTCCATTGTTCCTGGCTCTGCGCTTGGCGGGGTGTGGAGCTAATGCACCCCCACCCCTGGTTCTCTGACAGCTTAAAGTCTGGTGGGAGAGACTGAGGGAGAACCTGCATGCACCCTGAAATGTTCTGTAGAGACATGTGATAAGTCTGTGCAAGAAGGTGTGGTGACAGGAGGAGTCAGTTCCACCAAGTGGAAGGGGCTAGCCAGAAAGGCATCTGGAGGAGGGACACACCCAAGGCTTGAAAGAAGAAATAGGTGGCAAGCAGACAAGAGGGAGAAAGGTATTCCAGGCCAAGAGAGCACCGTGAGCAAATTAGGAAACCATGATACAGCCCTGAGTGTCCAGGCAAATCACATGAGCCAGAAAAACAGAGGGGCCCAAAGGATGGAGTTGAAGAGCAGAGGCCCGAGGGTGGGGAATTGGCAAATTAGGCCAAGTAGCAAAAGCTCAGTCTGACTATTGGATAGAGAAGAAACTAGGGGAAGGGCAAGGCTGGTACTCAGGGAGCCCATCAGAAGGTGATCAGAAGAGAGTGACAGCTGAACTAGAGCTGTGGCTGTGGGGAAGGGGACAATGGAGGTGTCTCGGGATAGTAGGGAAATAGAATGAGGGAGATGTCAGGAGTGGCTGGAGTAACTGGCTGACTGCCTGGTTGGGTCAGTCACTGACAGGAGGGAACTCAGGATGAGGAGCCCATGGAACATCCAGGTACATGTCCCCTGCAGGAGACTCTCAAGTTCCAAGGGGACAGGGACCATGTGTGTTGGCTCACCCCTGTATTCAGTGCCTAGCACTATCTCTGACACATATGTCAATGCTCAGTATACCCTTGTCAAATGAGTTAATAAAATGGGGTATTTGGGTTCGGCTGGAGCTCATCAGCATTAAGGTCATGGGGAAGACCTGGGAGGTGCTGCAGTCTCTCTGAGAGAGTGTATGGAAAGAGAACACTGGTGGGCATCATTTATCTTATTGATACCTGTGTGACAGCCTGAGGGTCACTTTCACAGACTCCCCCCTGCATAGTGCACACCAGTGAACCCCTGAGATAGGGAGTTTGCCTCTGTTGCCATGTAGCCCGCTGTTGTTCTCATGTGGCCTTGATTGCAGGCAGCTCTCTGAGAATCCCCATCCACGCCCGGTGAGCTGTTCATCTTCTGCAGTCCACCTCAGCTGATCTCAGGCCTTCTTTATGAAGCCACTAATCTCCTGGCCATAAAATCCAACTTCTAGACCAGGGTTATGGGACTAGTTCTACCACCACATGCCTGGGCAACTTCAGAGGTTTAGTTTCTCCATCTGTAGAAAGGGGTGCTCACTCCTGCCTTGCCTCCCTCCTGAAGAATCCAGGAGTTATTGGATGTGAAAGTGGATGTTTGGACCAACCGCCAGCCAGTGCTGGGAGACTAATGACCAGCATTTACCATGAACTTGTTTGGAGGGCCAGAGCACCTGGAAGGTGCCACCATGTTGTCACATGTGCATGTGGCTTTCCAGTCTCCATTCATATCCATGATTCCAGTGCATCCCCAAGGCAAGGATTACTCCTATTCCACAAAAGGCAGCAAAGACTTGGAGATGTCACACAGAGATAGTGATGGTACCAGGACCCCACGCATATCAGAATTCAGTGCACCTCCCCCTCTCACAGCGCCTCCAAATTCCTCTATCCAGTGAGCACATTTTGAGCACCTACTGTGTGTCAGATACTGTGTGATACCCTTGTCTCATTTCATCCTCATCATTGTCCTATGCAATGAGACTTATTGTCACCAGAGTACAGATGAGGAAACTGAGGCCCAGAGCAGCTAAGGAACCGCTGAGTGGGAGACCAGAGCCTGATGATCTTCTGTGGCCAGGAAGCATACATACCTACAGTGACCCCCTTTTTTTTTTCCTGGGAAAGAAAGCATTCCTAAGCCTCCCACAACCTTCCCCTCTTCCTGCACCCAGTGCCACCCTTCAGGCACAGGGCCTTGCCAACTAATCCTTGTGCTTCTCAGGCCGCCACCAAGCAAGCGATGCTGTACTGGCTGCAGCAGCTGCAGATGAAGCGCTGGGAATTCCACAACAGCCCGCCGGCACCTCCTGCCACCCCTGATGCCGCCCTGGCTGGGAATGGGCCCGTCCTGCACCTCGAGCTAGGTACCCAATGGGCTACCCTCCTGCCTGCACACCCAGGGCTCTGGTGATTAAGCCTTTACCCTCCTGCTGGGAATGAGCGGGAGGAGCCCTCTGCTAAGGAAGCAGAGAGCCAGGGATATGACTCAGGATTAGTTAGGGCAAGAATTTGGGCTGAGGCCAGGCTGCCTGGGTTCAAATCCTAGTCCTATATAACTTTAGGCAAGTTGTTTAACCTTTCTGAGCTTGTTTCCTTCCCCATAAGATGAGGTTTATAAATTATCCCTACTTCTTAGGGATGTTTTGAGGATTAAATGAATTCATATACCTAAAATGGTTAGAACAATGCCTGCACATGGTCAGAACCCAATACTTGTGAGCTACTATTGTGATGACTATTATGGAAGGCCTCAAGAAATCAAACTTTCACAGAATTGCTGTGAGGAGGGTTAATAAGAAAATGCAGTGTTGTAGATTTGTGTCGTGAGTTGGGTAGATCAGTGACTTTTTTTTTTTTTGAGATGGAGTCTCACTCTGTTGCCCAGGCTGGAGTGCAATGGTGCAATCTCGGCTCACTGCAACTTCCGCCTCCCGGGTTTAAGCAATTCTCTGCCTCAGCCTCCCGAGGCAGCCTCAGCTGGGATTACAGGCACGTGCCACCACGCCCGGCTAATTTTTGTATTTTTAGTAGAGATGGGGTTTCACCATCTTGGCCAGGCTGATCTTGAACTCCTGACCTCGTGATCTACCCGCCTCAGCCTCCCAAAGTGCTGGGATTACAGGCATGAGCCACCATGCCTGGCCAGATCAATTATTTTTATCGCTGGTGTTCCCATAAGATAGGATCCTTTTCCCCCAGATGACTCACAAATGAAGTTTCTTGATCCCAAATCCTGGATCATCCCAACGTGGAAGAGTCCAGGAGACCACACCCTCCCACCCCCATGCTGCAGCCAGGAACATGATTGGCAGGTTTTAGGATCGGTATGGACCACCTCACAGCTGCCCCTGCAAGAATGTGGAAAATCAGGTCCCAGTACAAAGCCACACTGTGTCTAAAGTGCTTCATGTTCAGTTGACAGGGAGGCCAAATAGGCAAGGGCAGGACTTGTTACCAAGTACCCCCTGGACCTCTGTACCTGGGTGCTTTGCATGTCCAAAGCTGAGTACATCTGCCCCAACCCTTCTCCCCATTTCCCTTCCCTCCTCTCAGTAGATTTCCCCTCTTGTACCCACTAGTAGTTGCCCTCCACCCTTCCTCAATTCCAGCCAGTGAGTCCAGTCAATCACTGTGCTGGCCATTTTTGCCCTCTGACCCATACATCAGACCCAGGCCTTTCTCGCTGCCACTGCCCAGGTCACACCTCATCTCTCAAAGTCACAGTGGCCTCCTCTCCAGTATCCCCATGTGGAGGCCATGCCAGAACCCATCCCCTTCTCTGCAGCCTGAGTGAGCTTTCTTAAACCTGACCCTGAACCCGGTCACTGCCATCCAATGCCACCCACCACCTCACTCCTGCACTCAGGGCTCATCCCTCCTGATCTCACCTCTGCCTGCTCCCCCAGTCCCCACCTTGGGCTTGATGCTTCGGCAGAGTCTCTGCTCTCTCTCCTTTGCCTGGCAAATTCTTGCTTATTCTCTATGGCCAAGCTCCAGCATTGCCTTCTCTTCTTGCCAGCCTCCTCCTGGAAGCCTTCTCAGACTTTGTCAGCTGGATTCTCTCTGGGCCCTCAACACTTTTTTCAAACACTTCAAGGGAGACCTGTTCCATTGTGTTCTATTAATAATTACCCCCGTCCTTGTCCATCTCCACCCGCTAGCCCTTAAGGGTGGGGACTTTTTTTTGGTTGCCTGTGTCACCTCCCTGGTGTCCTGCCTGGCACATTGGATATTTGTGGAATGAATGTGTAAGTCAATACACTAAACTTTATAATTAAATGAGGAAAGGAATGTAAACCCCTTAGCATAACCTCAGGCACATAGTAAGTGCTCAATACATGGGAGTTGTCCTAATAATATTGTTATTCTATGTCTATATGTCTGTGCATAGAACACACCCATGCTATTACTATCATAATAGTATATACACAAACATATATAGGTGCTGTTACTAGTATAATAACTGTTCCTTTTATTCTTAATAATCATTAGTAATTTCTTTGGAGTTTCTTTTGAAGGGTTTCTTTGCTTCTGCTCCAGCCCCCACTCCCCATCTGCCAGGGAGCCAGACAACCCTGGTTTTGCAGAAAACTGCAGCCTGGGTTGATGCTGCTGCAAAGATCAGCATCAGACTAGAGGCCAGCAGAAACCTCTGCAATAATAGAATTCCTGTGTCTTAACTGAAATTTGAAGAAGCAGATTGTGGAAGAACGGCTCTGGGATCCTCAGACCTCTTCTGCTGTGGGGAACCTGTTGCAGGTTCTTTAATTGTGCGGCTTTGCTTCAGCACACACGGCGGGCCTCTTCCAGGCCAGCCCCTGCTGTGGGCATTGGAGAAAGGGGTGGAGTTGCTGTGATGACCTGGGTTCTAGTCTCCTGAGGAGGATGCTGCCTGAGACTCAGGAAGCAGGGACGTGAGCTTCTCCTCTTGAAACCTTTCCTCGCCTTGCAGCAAGCCTGCACTCTCCTCCCAGACCCAGGGCCTGGCAAAACCTTCCCAGCCCACCTAGAAAGATGTTTCTGGTGTCTTGGGCAAGTCAGCAAGGCCTGGATTAGCCACGTGGAGCAGGCTGCCCCACCTCGCCCGCCTCCACCCTTCCTGAGGAAGCAGCGGCCCGCTCCCATGTCGTTGAAAACCTCCTGACCCATGTCTGACTTTGAGTCAGAGACTTCTGGTAAAAAGTGTCTCGTCACTGCTCTTGAGCAATCTGCAAGGCATGTTCTCTCCTGCTTTTAAGGATTTACAACTTTATTTTATGCTTTACCTAAACAACGGTCTCCGCAGAGCCAAGAAAGATCAAAGGGAACCCACGAGACTTATAATAATAAGAATAGCAAGTTGCCACAGTAAGCTACAGTTTACAAAGGACCTGTATAAATGTGTACTGTCATGAAATATGCCTGCTGCCCCAACACTTTACATGCGTCATCTTATTTAATCCTCACAATAATTTTATAGAGTAGTTAGTGCTATTTCCATTTTATAGACCAGGAAACTAAGGCTCAAAGAGGTCAAGAGACCTGTCCTAGGTCATGTAGTAAGAAAACATCAGTGCTGAAATTCAAACCCTAGGCTGCAGACTCATAACCTGCCCTCCCAAAGCTAAGGGGCAGCCAGGCACTCGTCCAGGGCCCTCTAGGGAGGCAGTGACCTCCTGGGTCAGGCCCTTTTTTTGTCTAGGCAGCGCCTTCTTCCCACTGGTGGTGGGGCAACCCTCAGAGCTCACGTAAAAGGAGAATTACAAATAAATGCTGCTGAAAATCCTCTGTGTGGTCACTCATGGAGGGCATTTCTCCAGGGTGCCCCAGACTGCAGCCTCAGGTCATTGATTCTGCCTCCTGTGGGAAGTGCTGGTCTCTGTTGGGGCATCGCCATCCTGTGCCGCCCGTGCCTTGCACACTCCTTTGCATTGGGAGCTTGTGCCTTCATGGGCAGCCCCTCCTGTCTTAGATGATCTGCTTGTTAGAAAGGCTGCTCTGATAAGCCACATTGTTTAATGGGAAAAGCAAAAGTAGGGACGTGTTTGAGTCTATAACGGTGTCACCTGCTAGCTTTGACTTTGGCCACAAAACTCAACCTCTCTGAGTGGCTATTTCCTCATTGGTAAAACCTACCAGTGATGACAACCCCCAGGACTTGGCTCTGTGTAGTCTCAGAGTTGATCTAGGCCCACAGGTGGCACTTACAAGAAAACAGATATTAGCAGTTAGGGAAGTACTGCTAAGATATCAAAATCTTAGAGAAACTGTTAAGTTTTTTTGGTTTGCTTTGAATGAAGGAGAATAAGATGGTTAAAATATTGATAAATAAAAAAATTTTATTTTTTTCGAATCAGTTCAGAGTCTGGCTTAAAGGTTACTTTGAAAGATGTGAGTCCACAATATGGGGCTTTATGGCTTTTTTTTTTTTTTTTTTTTTTGAGACGGAGTCTCGCTCTGTCACCCAGGCTGGAGTACAGTGGCGCGATCTTGGCTCACTGCAACCTCCGTCTCCTGGGTTCAAATGATTCTCCTGCCTCAGCCTCCCAAGTAGCTGGGACTATAGGTGCGTGCCACCACGCCTGGCTAATTTTTTTGTATTTTTATTAGAGACGGAGTTTCACTGTGTTACCTGGGATGGTCTCAATCTCCTGACCTCGTGCTCCACCCACCTCCGCCTCCCAAAGTGCTGGGATTACAGGCGTGAGCCATCGTGCCCAGCCCAGCTTTACGGCTTTTTAAACATTTTTGTATACATTAACTCTGAAGGAGACAAGGTAGAGAGTATCCTTCTTGTTTTTTTTTTTGTTTGTTTGTGTTTGTTTTTGTTTTTTTTTTTTGAGACGGAGTCTCGCCCTGTCACACAGGCTGCTGGAATGCAGTGGTGTGATCTCGGCTCACTGCAACCTCCGCCTCCCAGGTTCGAGCGATTCTCCTGCCTCAGCCTCCCAAGTAGCTGGGACTACAGGCACACGTCACCACGCCCAGTTTGTTTTTGTATTTTTAGTAGAGATGGGTTTCCCCACGTTGGCCAGGCTGATCTTGAACTCCTGACCTCAGGTGATCTGCCTGCCTTGGCCTCCCAAAGTGCTGGGATTACAGGCATGAGCCACTGCGCCCGGCCCTTGATTTTTTTTTTTTTTTACTGATTTGCAACCAGGTCGCAACACCCTCCCCATGGAAACAGGGCCCAGCTACAGATCTTCTACCCAAAGCCAGGTTTGGTTCTTCAGCCTCCTGCTCAAACCCCTAGGAGCTCTGGTTTCCATCGTGATGAGATCCAACCACTTACCCACACCCCTTTCTGTTTGGCCTTCCCCACCCCATCTTCCCAGCTTCCTCCCCGCAAACTCAGCTCTGGGTCTGAAACCCCTTACTGTTGCCTGTATGCTTGGCATAGGAAGATCTTTCCTGGTTCCTCCTGCAGATTCAAATCAACCCCAGTCCTTAAGGCCCAGCTGCAGTGCCCCTCCTCCAGGAAGTTTCCCCTGACCTGGGTTGGAAAGACTCTGTCTCCACCTCCCAGAACTGCCCCTACCCCAGCACCTGACCCCAGGTGTGCACTTTTTCCCCTTCCCTGCTCCTTAGGCTTTGAGTTTCTGCTTTTATTCTTCTCACTTTCTCCAGCCCCACTCACAAGCCTCAGGGTAAACACCCAGTCTGTGTTTGGTGAGAGGATTCATGGAAGGGAGGGCCTCAAAGATCTCGCATTTGAGGAGTGTGAGTGCTGGCCTACCTGCCAGATCTGATGGAGCCTGTTAGGAATTTACAAATACACTGTCTGTTGTTTGAACTACTGCTAAGTTTCTTTTCTTAGGTAGGTTGAACAGCTCCCCCTGACCCCCATCATTATATTTAATATTTTTATACCCACACCCTTTTTGCAGATATAGTGCAAAAACAAATCTCCGCTCCTAAATGTTTCAGTCTCCCAGTAAGAGGGCTCCAAGTGGAAAGTGTCTGCTGCCCTGGTAGGTCTCAGGGGCTGTCTAATCAAGCTCATACCAACCCATAAGTGGTCCTGGCTCTTTTCTCCTTTTTCTAACACTCAAAGTTAATTTCTAAATATTTCACCTCCCCTCTCTTATACTTCACATAATTTCCTTGGCCTTGAAAGCTTGCTTAACATTAAACATTTTCAAGTCACTCACTGTAGAAGAATCATTGTTTAAACAGAACATTTGGAAGACTAAAAAGAAAAAGAACCTGTAATCCTATCACCCAGAGGCAGCCAGTATTAACCTTATGTTATGACCTCCTGCCTGCCTTTTATTTAAACACATTTCAGATCATATAATAATATAAAATGTCCTACTTTGTTTTTTGATACTCAGTAGTGTGACCCTAATATTTGCGTGTGTTTTTAAAATCTCTGTATAAACATCTATTTTTGATAAATACATATTCTTTTTCTGTTTATAAAGTAACCCATGTTTATTGTAGAAAATTTGGAAAAAAAACAGTAAAATACAATGAGAATAGCCTGCTCACTGCAAATCCCATCACGCAGCTCAAACCACTGTTAAGATTGCGGAGTATATTTCTTTGAGACTTTTTCTGTACAATTGAGATTACACTATAACCCCAATTTTTTTTTTCTTTTGAGGCGGGGTCTTACTCTGTTGCCCAGGCTGGAATGCAGTGGCACCATCTCCGCTCACTGCAACCTCCACCTCCTGGGCTCAAGTGATCCACCCACCTCAGCCTCCCAAGTAGCTGGGACTATAGGCACGCACCACCACACTCAGCTAATTTTTCTGTTTTTTGTAGAGATGGGGTTTTGCCATGCTGCTCAGGTGGTCTCAAACTTTCAGCTCAAGTGACCCACCCAGCTCAGCCTCCCAAAGTGGCGGGATTACAGGTGTGAGCCACAACATCCAGCCTTCCAATTTTTTGTTTGTTTTTGTTTTGTTTCTTTGTTTTGTTTTTTGAGATGGAGTCTCACTCTGTCGCCCAGGCTGAAGTGCAGTGGCACGATCTAGGCTCACTGCAAGCTCCGCCTCCTGGGTTGAGGCCATTCTCCTGCCTCAGCCTCCCAAGTAGCTGGGACTACAGGCGCCTGCAACCATGCCTGGCTAATTTTTTGTATTTTTAGTAGAGATGGGGTTTCACCGTGTTAGCCAGGACAGTCTCGATCTCCTGACCTCATGATCTGCCTGCCTCAGCCTCCCAAAGTGCTGGGATTACAGGTGTGAGCCACTGCGCCCGGCCCAATTTTTTTTTAATCTGGCTTTTTCCACTTAATATTATATTCCATACAGGTTTCCCTGTTTATAAGTATTTATTCACATTGTTTTGAATGATTAATATTCCGTCATATGAAGACATTCTGATATACTTAACCTATTCCCAAGTTTTTAGATCTTTTCCAACTTGAGGCTATTGTGACAATGCTAGAAGGAACGAACCTCTTGGCACATAAAGTTTTGTCTGCACTTCCATCTTTAGGATGGACTCTCAGATGTAGAATTAACTGTAGGTCTGCCTTTTTTTTTTTTTTTTTTTTTTTTGAGACGGAGTTTCACTCTTGTTGCCCAGGCTGGAGTGCAATGGCGCGATCTCGGCCCACTGCAACCTCCGCCACCCAGGTTCAAGCGATTCTCCTGCCTCAGCCTCCTGAGTAGCTGGGATTGCAAGAATGCGCCACCACGCCTGGCTAATTTTGTGTTTTTAGTAGAGACAGGGTTTCTTCATGTTGGTCAGGCTGGTTTCTTAACTCCCCACCTCAGGTGATCCGCCCATCTCAGCCTCCCAAATTGCTGAGATTACAGGCATGAGCCACCGCTCCCAGCCAGGTCTGCATATTTTTAAGGGGTTTGCAGGAGGGCTGTACCAGCAAAATGCATCATTTTACTGGCTGCAGAACATTTTGTGAAAAGCCTATTTTGCTGCTGTTAACCTACAGGGAGGGCCTGCTTGCCCCTGCAACTCTCCAACTCCAGCCTGTTCCCAGTCAGGGCTGCACCCATAGCATCCCACCTGACCTGTCTTTCCAAGTGCAGTGACCCAGCTGATGGATTTCCCTTTTCTTTGTTCCCAGGGCAAGAAGAGGCAGAGCTGGAGGAGTTCCTGTGCCCTGTGAAAACACCCCCTGGGCTAGTGGGCGTGGCAGCTGCCTTGCAGCCCTTCCCTGCCCTTCAGAATATTTCCCTCAAGCACCTGGGGACTGAAATACAGTAAGTGCCAGTGGAGCTGAGGGGCTAGCCAAGCTGCAGGCAGCCCCTTCAGTGGAGCTTGACCCACTGTGATTCTCCTGCAGGGAGATGGGCCCCGGGAGAGGGTTATGGGCTTTATTTTCAATTAATCACATCATCACTTTAAAATATTACATTTGGCCGGGTGTGGTGGCTTATGCCTATAACCCCAGCACTTTGGGAGGCCGAGGTGGGCGGATCACTGGAGGTCAGGAGTTCGAGACCAGCCTGGCCAACATAGCGAAACCCCTTCTCTACTAAAAATACAGTAATTAGCCGGGCATGGTGGCAGGTGCCTATAATCCCAGCTACTCAGGAGGCTGAGGCAGGAGAATCGCTTGAACCCAGGAGGCAGAGGTTGCAGTGAGCCGAGATTGCACCATTGCACTCCAGCCTGGGCGACAAGAGTGAGACTCTGTCTCAAAAAAAAAAAAAAAAAAATACATTCATTGGAAAAGTGGTACATGTTCATTATAGGAAATCAGAAACATCTGGAAGGGTATAAAAAATTACCCACTGGACGAGGTGGCTCACAGCCTGTAGTCCCAGCTACTAGGGAGGCTGGAGCAGGAGGATCACTTGATTATAAGTAAAGTATTTTTTTTAATTATCCATAATCCTACCACCCAGACAAATATTCTTAGCATTTGGTATATTTCTTTCCTCTACATTTTCTATATACATATTGCATAAATGAGATCATATTGAATGTGATGTAGTGATGGTTTCACAAATGTCTATACATGTCAAAAGCATCAAATTACTCATTTTTAACTTGTGCAATTTATTGTGTCAATCATATCTCAACTACTTTGTTATTTAATAATATATTATATATATATACCTTACTATTGTCAGGCTTTGTTTTAGATAATTTCTAAGAAGGTAGCAGTATGGACCAGGCGTCGTGGTTCATGCCTGTAATTGCAACACTTTGGGAGGCCAAGACAGGAGGATCACTTGAGGCCAGGAGTTCAAAACCAGCCTGGGCAACTTCTGAGACCCTGCCTCTACAATAAGTAAAATGAAGTTAGCCAGGCATAGTGGCATGTGCCTGTAATCCCAAGCCCAGGAAGTCAAGGCTGCAGTAAGCCATGATCATACCACTTCATCCTAGCCTGAGCAACAGAGTGAGACCCTGTCTCAAAAAAAAAAAAAAAAAAAAAAAAAAAGGCAGCAGTGTGGCCTGGGCTTTGGAAGCAAACTGCCTGGGTTTGTATCCTGGCTCCACCAGTCATGGCTGTGCTGCTGTTGGCAAGTTGTTTCTCAATGCTTTTCTTACCTTGTTAGTAAATGTAAATACAACAGCGCTTGCCTTATAAGCTTAGCATGGTAATTAAATCGTTTAATGCATGCAGCCTGCTTTAGAACTGTGCTTGGCAGTCTTAAGCATGAAATGCATATTAGCTGCTGCTGCTATTGTTACTCTAGTTGAAGGGATGGAAACTTTCAGGAATTCAAACTATATCCAATAGTGATCCTGTTTGGGCGTTTCTTTTCTTTTCTTTTCTTCTTTTCTTTTTTTTTTTTTTTTGGAGATGGAGTCTTGCACTGTTGCCCGGGCTGGAGAGCAGTGGCGCGATCTCAGCTCGCTGCAACCTCTGCTTCCCGTGTTCAAGTGATTCTCCTGCCTCAGCTTCCATAGCAGCTAGGATTACAGGCACCCACCACCACGCCCGGCTGACTTTTTGTATTTTTAGTAGAGATGGGATTTCACTATGTTGGCCAGGCTGGTCTCAAACTCCTGACCTCGTGGTTTGCCCACCTCGGCCTCCCAAAGTGCTGGGATTACAGACGTGAGCCACCACGCCCAGCCTGGGCATTTGTGTTCCATGTGGACTTCAGATGAACTTAGAGCTCTTAGAAGGCAAAATAGATTGCTCACGGGACTTTGATAAGGGACCCCTGGTTCTGTGTGACTCAGGCAGAGTATTTCCCTCTGCTGGCTTCAGAGTCTGAATTTGCTTGAGTGACTAGGAGGGTGGTGACGTCCTTTCCAGGAGAGAATCAGGTTTTAGGGAAAAGACAATGAGTGTTCTTTGGGGTCTGCTGGCTGGAGGTAGAGCTCCCCCACAGGCATTTGGATGGAATGACCTGGAGCCCAGGAGAGAGATCTAAGCTTGAGAGAGAGGCTTGATGGGTATAGGGCATGGTTGAGCCCTCCAGGGTGAGTGGATGTGGAGGGCACCCTGCAGGAGATCACCTGTTGGGAGGAGCTACAGGGAACTGGGTGCATTGGGAGCATGCTGGGGTAGAGAGGGGGCCTGAGAAGTCCAGCTATCCAGCCAGCATGCACCCAGGGCAGTCTCACCAATATTAAACTGAGTCCATGCCTGATAGAGGCCACAGCAGCAGAAGCAGAACATAGAAAATGCAGAGACCAAGAAAGGAAGGAAGCTTCAGAGGGTCATAGAGCAACTTCCCTCCTGTAACTTGTCTTGGCCCACAGAAAATGCCAGGCTACTTTGCAAGAGAAGTGCCCTGGGCTGCTGAGAGCCCCAGACTACTTGGTGAGATGAGAGCTGCCTTTGTGTCCTACACCCTTGTGCTCTGGCTGGTCTTGGAACTCACTGTTGGTGCTGCCATGAACCCGGGTCATACTCAGGGAAGGGGGTAGGGAGCTTCCTGAGCACTGTGTTGGGTGCTTTATGCTCTCGAGTTCTCTAGACAAACCTGTGAAGTGGTATCATCACATGGTTAAGTCCTCAAACCATGGAGTTAGACATCCAGGGCTGCTCAGCCCCACTGCCTACTTGCTCTGTAGTTTTGGTTACTTATCCTCTTTGAATCTCAGTTCTCTCTGTCCAATGAGGGTGAGAATAGTATTTACTTCATTGGTCTTGGGAGGATTAAGTGAGTGGAATGCATCATAGTGTTTCACTTAGAATTTGAGCCATGGAAGGGTCCATCCAGTGTTCATTATGGATATGTTTGACATCCCCATTGCAGATGAGGAAACTGAGGCTCAGGGAGGATAACTAGCTTTCCCAAGGTTATCCTTTCAGAACAAGTCTTTAGGATCACCACTCCCATGCTGGCCAGGCCTTGCAGACCTGGAATTAAACCTAAACAGAAAATGGTCCATGAACTGCTCCAAGCAAAGTTGATAAATTTATGAAATGGAAACAGCTCTTCCAAGCATAGTGGTTTAGCTGGGTGGTGACCAGCCGGACCATTTCAGAAGGTAGCGAGCTTCCCATTCCCAGAGATGTGTGCTAGGGCTTAGAAGGCCTTTCGCTGCCCTAAAGTTGTGGTTTCTGTGCTTTCCCACACCCCAGGGGTGACTGCTTATCAGACCCAGGACATGTCAGGGAGGGAGCAGTTCCTGGTTAAAGTGTGGGCAGCAGTGATGATTACCCCACCTAGCCAGTGCCTCTAGCTATAGGGATATGGCCCTGTGTCCCTCTCCAACTCATGTGACTTGTGGTTTGTGAAATCCATGTAACAGGGCTCAGCACAGGACCCAGCATAAAGTGATGCTCAGTAAATAGTAGTGCCTATCATGATCATCATGATTCTCTTCAATGGAACTACATTCTTGTATTTTCAGATGGGGAAGGCAAGACTGGGAAAGGGAAGTCACTAGGCCAAGGAGCCAGGGGCTCTCCTTATAACAGGACACCATAGTAATTACAGCAAAAGATCAGGTATTGGGAGTGCTGAGTTCTAATTTCTTCTCTGCTCTTAATTCAACCGATGAATTTTTCCTTCTGTCACTCAGCTGTACTATCCATGAAAGTATAATCTCATTATTTTCTTATTCTGGGCCCAACTATACAAAACACACACACACACACACACACACACACCACACAAACACACCTGGATCTTGTTTTAAACTAAGTTTGAGATCAATAGAGATTCTTTGAAAAGAGCAACAAAGTTGACAAACCTTTAGCTAGGCAGACTGAGAAAAGAGAGAAAACTCAAATTACTAAAGTCAAGAACAAAAGAGAGCATTGCTACCAACCTTACAGAAACAAAAAGGATTATATGAGGAATACTATGAACAACTATGTGCCAACAAATTTGATAACTTAGATGAAAATGGACAAATTCCTAGAAAGACACATTTACTAAAATATACGCAAGAAGAAAATCTAAAAAGACCTAATTACATCGTAGAGATTGAATTAGTAAAATAAATAAATAAATAACTACACATGAAGAAAAACTCAGGACCAAATGACTTCACTGGTGAAGTCCACCAAATATTTAAAGAAAAATTAATACCAATTCTTCACAGATTCTTCCAAAATATAAAAGAGGAGGGGACACATCCCCCAACTCATTTTATAAGACTGATATTATTCTGATACCAAAACCAAACAAAGACATCATAAGAAAGATACAGACCAATATCCCTTATGAAGGCAGATGTAAAAATTCTCAACAAAATACTAGCGAACTGAATTCAGCAGCATATAAAAAGGATTAATCCACGATAAAGTAGGATTTATCTTAGGAATACATGGTTGGTTTCACATCTGAAATTCAATTTATGTAATACACTACATTAATAAGAAGAAGGTGAAAAACCACATCATTTCAGTAGACTGAGAAAAAGCATTTGACAATATTCAACATCTCTTTGTGATAAAACCTCTCACAAAGACTGGAAAGGGCCAGGCGCAGTGGATCTTGCCTGTAAACCCGGAACTTGGGGAGGACAAGGTGGGAGGATTGGTTGAGGCCAGGAGTTTGAGACCAGCCTACAAAAAATTGTAGTGAACCCCATCTCTACAAAAAATTAGCTGGGTGTGGTGGCACACACCTGTAGTCCCACCTACTGTGTAGGCTGAGGTGGAAGGATCACTTGAGCCCAGGAGGTCAAGACTGCAGTAAGCTATGAGCATGCCACCACACTTCAGCCTGGGTGACAGAGTGAGACACTGTCTCTAAATAATAGTAATAAATAAATAAATAAATAATTTTTTTAAAAGTCTAGAAGGAGGCCAGGCACAGTGGCTCATGCCTGCAATCCCAGCACTTTGGGAGGCTGAGGTGGGTGGATCACCTGAGGTCAGGAGTTTGAGACCAGCCTGGCCAATATGGTGAAATCCCATCTCTACTAAAAATACAAAAATTAGCCGGCCATGGTGGTACAGGCCTGTAGTCCCAGCTACTTGGGAGGCTGAGGCAGGAGAATTGCTTGAACCCAGGAGGCGGAGGTTGTACCACTACACTCCAGCCTGGGCGACAGAGCAGCTCCGTCTCAGAAAACAAAAAACAAAAAACAAAAAAAACAAGTAGAACGAAACTTCCCCAGCTTGATAAAGGGAATCAATGAAAAATGCAAAGCTAACATACTTAATGGTAAAAGACTGAATATTTTCCCCTTAAAATCAGGAATATTCAACATTGTTCTGGAGGCTTTAGCCAGGCCAATTAGGCAAGAACATGAAATTAGGCATCCAGATTGGGAAGGAAAAAAGTAAAACTATCTTTATTTGCAGTTGACATGATATTTGTTTACAGAAAATCCTAAGGAAAAACTATTAGAGCTAAGAAATTAGTTCAGCAAGGTTGCAGGATTCAAGATCAATATAGAAATATCAGTTGTATTTCTATACACCTGTAATAAACAACCCAAAAATAAAATTAAGAAAACATTCCATAACAATATTAGAAAAAGAATTAAATATTTAGGAATGAATTTGACATAATGATGCAAAATGTGTGCTCTGAAAACACCAAACATTGTTGAAAAAAAGGGCTTAAGTAGCTGGAAAGATATCTCATGTTCATGAATCAAAAGACTTAATATTGCTAGGCTGAGCGCAGGGGCTCACGCCTGTAATCCCAACACTTTAGGAGGCCAAGGTGGGCAGATCACTTGAGGTCAGGAGTTCAAGACCAGCCTAGCTAACATGGTAAAATCCCGTCTCTACTAAAAATACAAAAATTAGCTGGGCATGGTAGCACATTCCTGTAATCCTAGCTACTTGGGAGGCTGAGGCAGGAGAATCGCTTGAACCCGGGAGGCAGAGACTGCAGTGAGCCATGATTGTGCCACTGCACTCCAGCCTGGGCAACAGAGTGAGACTCTGTCTCAAAAAAAAAAAAGAAAAAAAAGAAAAAAAAAAGACTTAATATTGTTAACCTATTAATCTGACAATACTTCCCAAATTGATCTACAGATTCAATATAATCACCATCAAAATTCTGGTGGCTTCCTTACAGAAATTAACAAGTTAAACCTAAAATTCAAGATCCTGGAAATTCAAGAGCCCCAGAGTACCCAAAATAATCTTGAAGAATAAAAAAAGTTTGCCCCGTCTCTACTAAAAATACAAAAAAAATTAGCCGGGCATGGTGGTGCACGCCTGTAATCCCAGCTACTCAGGAGGCTGAGGCAGGAGAATCGCTTGAATCTGGGAGGTGGAGGTTGCAGTGAGCCGAGATCGTGCCACTGCACTCCAGCCTGGGCGACAGAGCAAGACTCTATCTCAAAAAAAAAAAGAAAAAAAAAGTTTGAAGACGCACTCTTCCCAATATCAACACTACTACAAAGCTATAGTAATCCAGACAGTGGTGCTGTTGCAAGGTGCACTAAGTGGGGTGCACTCTGATATTTTCTTTCTTTTTTTTCAGCAAAGCCTGACTTTCTTTTTTTTCTTTTTTTTTTTTTGAGACAGTCTTGCTCTGTCACCCAGACTAGAGTGCAGTGGCGCAATCTCCACTCACTGCAACCTCTGCCTTCCCAGTTCAAGTGACATTCAGCAACTCTCCTGCCTCAGCCTCCCGAGAAGCTGGGATTACAGGCATGAGCCACTACGCCTGGTTAACTTTGGTATTTTTAGTAAAGACGGAGTTTCACTATGTTGGCCAGGCTGGTCTCGAGCTCCTGGCCTCAAGCAATCCACTCGCCTTGACCTCCCAAGGTGCTGAGATTACAGGCGTGAGCCACTGCACCCGGCCAAAGTCTGACATTCTTAACAGATTTTATTATCTTAACTGGCATGCTTTAAATTCATAAAAGCTTTGGAGAAATAATCAATTCCCAACCCCATGAAAAGTATTTTGAATGAGGAAAAAAAAAAAAAATGGAAGTAATGATCTACACAGATACAAAGCATGCCTTAGTTCCTCCCATATCCCCAACTGCTATTTTGTGATAAAGAATTCTCAGAAAGCAGTGTTTTTAATACTCATCAAGTAGAATCTCACCAGTGTAAAGAACCAACAACATTGATCTGGTGCCTCCGCTCACTCTTTGCAGACCATTTTTGGATTCCTAAGGTGTAATTATACATTTCACATACATTTGTGAGATAAGATAAACATTATGTTTATATCCCACATGAGCCAGGCTTAAAGGTTTTCTAAAAACTGTGTGTGGCACTAGAAACTTCATGCTGTATCAAGTCAGTATCAGTATCAAGCTACTGGACTCTATAATGAAATGTTATAGATAAACATTTACTGAAAACCAATATAAAAATCTGGCCCAGACCAGGCACGGTGGCTCATGCCTGTAATCCCAGAACTTTGGGAAGCCAAGGCGGGTGGATCACCTGAAGTCAGGAGTTTGAGACCAGCCTGACCAAAACGGCAAAACCCTGTCTCTACTAAAAATACAAAATTAGCTGTGTGTGGTGGTGGGCACCTATAATCCCAGCTACTCGGCAGGCTGAGGCAGGAGAATCGCTTGAGCCTGGGAGGTGGAGGTTGCAGTGAGCCGAGATCGTGCCATTGCACTCCAGCCTGGGTGACAGAGTGAGACTCCATCTCAAACAACAACAACAAAAATCTGGCCCAGAAAGACCAGGATGGAAATATGCAATCTTCTTGAGTTAAGATGGTCAATTGTTTTTTTTTAATAAATAAAATTTTAAAAAGCTCTATACAGTTTAAGACAAGTATGTGTAAGATATGTGTATGTTTTGTATGTGCTGACTTGATCATGACAACTCCCTGATTTTTTTTTTTCCTCTTTTGAGATGGAGTCTCACTCTGTCACCCAGGCTGGAGTACAGGTGGCGCTTTCTCGGCTCACTGCAAGCTCCACCTCCCAGGTTCATGCCATTCTCCTGCCTCAGCCTCCCAAGTAGCCGGGATTACAGGTGCCCGCCACCACACATGGCTAATTTTTTTGTATTTTAGGTAGAGACAGGGTTTCACCGTGTTAGCCAGGATGGTCTCGAACTCCTGACCTCGTGATCTGCCCACCTCAGCCTCCCAAAGTGCTGGGATTACAGGCGTGAGCCACCGTGCCCAGCCGACAACTTGCTGATTCTTATGAAGGATTAGGGATACACATCTTCAGCAATGCACATGAGAAATAAACTCTGAAAAAGACAATTTATTGGGGTTAGGAAGGACCGTATTTTGGGAAGTGCTTTAGAGAAACAGACAATAATTCTAGGATTATAGCTGAGAAGGATTGGAAGACTTCAGGAGATGCTTCAGCTTCTAGATTTTGAATGTCGAATAAATCATTGAAGTGTGATACCTACATTATCCTTTTCTTTGCAAAAAATTGAATAGTAGCACATTTCTTTATCCTGAATAGCAGACATTCATTTTTTCAATTAGCTGTTTCTCATCCAAGGCATTAGAAAGATCTCTCTCTTGCTTCCAAGTACTAGCACTGGAATTCCTTGTAACTGTGGTTTATCTAGATTACGTAGCTCATTTCTCAAGGCCTCTATCTTCTCACGATCTGCACCATCTGTTATGTAAACAATAGCGTTGACTCCTAAGCAATATAGTTCCTACATGCTCCGAAATTGGGGTTGTCCTCCTATGTCCCAGATCTTTTTTTTTTTTGAAATGGAGTCTCGCTCTGTCGTCCAGGCTGGAGGTGCAGTGGCGTAATCTCAGCTCACTGCAACCTCCGCCTCCCGGGTTCAAGCGATTCTCTGCCTCAGCCTCCCGAGTAGCTGGGACTACAGGCATGCGCCACCACGCCCGGCTAATTTTTGTATTTTTAGTAGAGACGGGGTTTCACCATCCTGGCCAGGCTGGTCTTGAACTCCTGACCTCGTGAGCCACCCACCTCAGCCTCCCAAAGTGCTGGGATTACAGGCGTGAGCCACCGTGCCCAGCCATATCCCAGATCTTTACTGTGATGTTACCTTTAGTTACTTTCCTCGTGTCGAAGCTCACTGTGGGTATCATGTTTTCACTAAATTGACCTGACGCAGTGATATTCACAAAGCTGGTCTTGGCCTAAGTCCTGTAGCCCCACAAGCGTCAGTTCTAGCTCCTGCTTCCAAAAGAGCAAATGGAACTAGTACAGCAGGCAGGAGATGTGCGCCGCATGACGACCACTGGGAGACAGGATGGATGGGAGGGTCGGCAAACAGAGGCAAGGATGACTTCCACACGAGCCAGCCTTGGTCTGGACCACCCAACAGCTCCTCAGGATTCCGATGCAACACAGGTGGATGCAGGCAGGTGGCAGCAGCCCTGATAGTTTCTATTTCATTTTTTAAATGCTGGTCATGACACTAAACTGATTTTACAATCTACCAATGAGTGGGAACTTTCAGTTCGAAATACACTGACCTAGTGAACTCCTTTCATCATTTTCCCTCCCTGTCATTAATCTTATCTCTTTGCAAGGGAAAATAAACTCCTTGAACTGTTTTTACATCCAGCTCATTATGAACTTCTCTGTGGTCTGTGATCTTAGGTCAGCCTTTGGTACTATCTAGTTCCCTTCTATAAACCAAACATGTATTGAGCCCGGTCTCTGGCATGTACAACCCAGTGTTGGGCACCAGCAAACATGCAGGTAGGTTAGTACCCGGTTCTTAAAGAAATGACATCATGAGGCTTCAGCCTAGACAAGTACTTGGCCAAAGGGTGACCCCGCTGCGAAGTACACTAAGCCCCTTGGAGGCCATGAGATGGTCAGTGAAGGCTGCACAGAGGACAGATCTGAGCAGGGAAAGAGAGCAAGCAGGGAAAGATGCCAGGAGATGTTTGCAACTTATCTCAGCAGAAGTCGGGAGCCACTGATGGTTTTTGAGCCAGATAGTTATGAAACCAGATGAAGGTTTCGGGAAAGTTGGTTCAGCAAGTCCATTCAGCATTCACTCAACACACCCATATTAAGCACCTTCTATGTTTTGGGCACCGTTTAGGCATTGTAGGTGCATCAGTTAACAAAACGGACAATACCTCCGCCTCATGGCATTTATATTCCAGCTGCAGGGGTGGGGGTTAAGGAAGTCAAGCTTGTATTACTTATAAGCCACATAGTGTGTGGAAGATGAGAATGCGAAAGAGATAGGTAAAGGAGATTGGGAGTGCCATGCATGGGGAGGCATCATGTAGGGTGCCTGGAGTCTGGGAGACCAGTCAGGATGACAGGGTGTGGGGATGAGACCTGAGCTCCAGCAGTGGTGGCGGGAAGGACAGAAGGGCAGAAAGGCAGGGTTCAGCCTCATGCTCCTCTGTTCTTGTCTCCTTTCAGGAACACAATGCACAACATCCGTGGCAACAAGCAGGCCCAGGGAACAGGCCATGAACCTCCAGGGGAAGATTCTCCACAGAGTGGGGAGCCTCAGAGGGAGGAGCAGCCCTTGGCCTCTGACGCCAGCACCCCAGGTGAGCCTCTGTCCAGGGCTGAGCTGCCTTCAGGGACCAGCTCCTCACGGCTGGCACAAGTGCCTTCTTTCCTTCCAGCGAACCAGCATTTGTGCTTTTGTGTGTGTCTTAGTTGGCTTGGGCTACTTACTGAAACACCATAGACTGCGTGGCTTAAATAACAGATACTTATTTCTCACAGTTGTGTGGAAGCTGGGAGGTCCAAGATCAAGGTGCCGGCAGATTCAATGTGTGGTGAGGGCTCCCTTCCTGGCTTGCAGATAGATGGCCACCTTCTCACTGTGTGTTCACGTGGCCGAAAGAGCTCTGGTCTCTGCTGCTTATTCTAAGGGTACTGATCTTATCAGGGGCTCCACCCTCATGACATTAAATCTGATCACCTCCCAAGGGCCCCACCTGTTAATACCACCACGCTACTAAAAATACAAAAGTTAGCTGGGCATGGTGGCCAGTGCCTACAATTCCAGCTACTCAGGAGGCTGAGGCAGGAGAACCACTTGAACCTGGGAGGCAGAGGTTGTAGTGAGTCGAGATTGCACCACAGCACTCCAGCCTGGGTGACAGAGTGAGACTCCGTCTCAAACAAAACCAAAAACAAATGTACACATGTGATAAAATGGCATAGACCTATACACACATATTGTACCAACACCAGTTTCCTAGAGTTGATAGTGTACTATAGCTATGTAAGATGTCACCATCAGGGGAAGCTTGGTGAAGAGTACTTGGGACATGTCTGCACTATCTTTGCAACTTCCTGTGAGTCTATAATTTTTTCAGAGTAAAAAATTAAGAAGAGGCTGGGCATGGTGGCTCACGCTTGTAATCCCAGCACTTTGGGAGGCCAAGGCTGGAGGATTGCTTGAGCCCAGGAGTTCAAGACAAGCCTGGGCAACACAGGGAGACCCTGTCTTTACAAAAAAATAAAAAAATTAGCTGATCATGGTGCAAGCCTGTAGTCCCAGCTACTTGGGATGCTCAGCTGGGAGGATCACTTGAGCCAGGGAGGTCGAGGCTGCAGTGAGCCGTGATCATGCATGGGTGACAGAGTGAGACACTGTCAAAAAAAAAAACAGAAAAAGAGAAAGAAGAAAAGAAAAAGCACCCTTTGGAGCAGTCAGTGCCTGGCAGAGCCCTAGAGAGCACAACAAGCAGTCCAAGAGAAGGCCAGTGCTATATCGGATGAGTCACCATCATCATAACACTAGCAGTTACTTCATGCCAGTGCGGCAGTAAGCATTTTTTTTGGCAACAACTTTATTAAGATATATTCATGTACTATACAATTCACCCATTTAAAATGTGTAATTCAGTGGCTTTCTGTATATCCTCAGAATTATGCAGCCGTCACTATAATCAATTTTAGAACATTTTTATTACCCCAAAAAGAAACCTGCACCCTTAGTCATCAACCTTAATCCCCACTGCCCCATAACCCTAGGTGGCCACTCATCTTTCTTTCTCTATGGCTGTGCCTGTTCTCGACATCTGCTGTGAGTGGAATATACCAAGGAATATACCATGCTGTGACTGGCTTCTTTGACTTAGTAGAATCTTTTCAAGTTTCATCTGTGTGTACCAAGCACTTTACCTACCTTGACCTATTTAATTCTTACAGCAACTGGAACTGTATATATTGTATATATTGTTGTTATCCTCATTAGATTAATAAGGAAACTGAGGCATGGAAGGGTGGAGTGACTTGCTCACGGCCACAGAGTGAGTGACAGAACAAAATCTAATATATAAAGCAGATAAATCCACCATAAGTTGAAAATATCATAAGTTGAAAATGCATTTAATATACTTAACCTATTGAACAGTATAGTTTTGCCCAGTCTATCTTAACCATGCTTGGAACACATACATTTGGGCAAAATCATCTAACACAAAACCTATTTTCTAATAAAGTGTTGAATATCTCAACACTGTGTTAAACTGTGTTAAACGGTGTTTACACTGTGTTAAACAGTGGTTGTAATCAGATTTTTAAATGGAGGAAAAGATTATTTTTATGTCAATAAATCTTTTCTAATATGTACAAATGAGTTTCTTGAACACTAATAAAAAACACCTAAATTCTTTTTGAGACTCTAAATGAGCTACAAATTAAAAAAAAAAAAAAAAAAAAAAAAAGCAGAGTTGAGGCTGGAGTTGGAGTCTGGACTCCTCCTCTGCTCCTCTTACTCCACCTTCCTCTCCCAGTCAGCCCTTGAGGCACTCCTATGAAATCCAGGGCACTGATTGAACACCACTGTCTTAGGCCTTATTTTCTCTAATTATAAACTGGGCACTGTGAGGCCTGCCCTGCCTGTCCTCAGAGTTGGTGCACAGTCATGTATCAGAGGGCAGCAGTGCTACAAGGAGCTTCCCTGCTCCCCTATACCCCATTACAGGAAGGAGAAAGAGGTAGTACATATTTCTGAGCTCTGCAGGCTGCCTTGTACCCAGTGTAACCTGATTTCTCTTCGATCTGGAACAAGACTGTTCTGGTTTTGCACTCAGCAAGGCACTGTTGTTTTGTTCGTTTGTTTTGAGTCAGAGTCTCGCTCTGTTGCCCAGGCTAAAGCGCACTGGCATGATCTCGGCTCACTACAACCTCTGCCTCCCGGGTTCAAGTGATTTCTGGCTAATTTTTGTATTTTTAGTAGAAACGGGGTTTCACCATGTTGGCCGGGTGGTCTCGAACTCCTGACTTCAAGTGATCTACCCGCCTCAGCCTCCCAAAGTCCTAGGATTACAGGCGTGAGCCACCACGCCCGGCCGAGCAAGGTACTGTTTTTGCACTCAGTGTCTGGTTCCTGTCACCTACTGGAGTAACTCTTTATTTGTTCAAGACTGTTTGGCCAGCCCTTGGCCTGGTCTCATGCTAAGTCATTTGGCCTATCCCCAAAGCCCTGCGTGTCCCCTATCCTGGGATGCCATACCACATTCTTATTTTCAACACCTTTAACACTTTAGTCCCAAGAAATAGGTAATAGTTTACTAAAATGCATACTCCTGCAAATGAGTAATTTGGTTAGGAGATTTAGATAAGATCAATTTACGATCCTACAAAATATCTGAGAGTAGGCAGTAAATGTGGCTGTAAGCTCAGCAGCCAAGGCAAAGAGGGAAATGCAAGCAGCTAGATTATTTCCAGTGTCCATAAGACTAAAAACATATTTTCTTATAAGAAGCAAAGCTTTTCTTGGAAGTTCCTAGGGCTGAAGGGAATTTCTTCTGCTGGGGACTCATAATAGGCATGATGTATATATCCCATGTGAACAAGCTTCTCAAGGGCCCTTGGCTACATAGTCAGGCCCTTAAATGTCCCTTGATGCAGGCTGATGGCAGAGACCAGAAGCACAGCTGGGTCAGGGCAGGACAAGGCAACACAAGGGAATGATTCTCTGATGTTTGGTTTGATTTAAGAATAAAATTTTGATGACTTAAAAACAGTGGGTGGCAAACATTTTTTGTAAAGAGCAAGATAGTAACGATTCGAGGCTTTGTGGGCCATAGGGTTTCTGTTTTAAGCACTCAGTTCTGCCTTTGAGGAGTAAAAGCAGCAATAGACAGCACATAAACAAATGGGCATGGCCGTGTTCTAATAAAGCTTTATTTGTAAAAGCAGGCTGTGGGCTGGATTTGGCCTGTGAACCATAGGTTGTAACCCAGGAGATAAAAGGACTATGCATCCTTGAGACAATCAACTGTGGGGGAAATATATCTCTTAACTTAGCTTGGAATAAGAAGAATCAAGTTAAATGCTTGAGCTGCTCTCTGGAGCAAGAATGCAGAGTACAGACATTCATTTTGTGTTCCTATCATCAGACAGATCTGTGTGCTTTGAAAATCTCCTAGTACATAGAGGTGGGATCCTGAAATAAGGAACAGAACATCCTGCCAGGGCTTGTGCCTGAGGAGAAAGCCACTTGGCAAACACCAGCAGGGTGGCATGAGATAGACCAATGCAGGCTGGGTGGGATCTGAAGGAAGGAGACAGGCACAGTTTAGCAGATGGGCCAGCACAGTGCAATAACGTTTATGTAGGCCAGTGGTTCTCACAGTCTAACCCCTGGACAAGCTGTGTCAGCATCACCTAGGAACTTTTTAGAAGTGCATATTCTCAAGCCCTGCCCCAGACCTATTAAATCCAGAGCTCCGAAATTAGGGCCCAACCATCCGCATTTTAACAAGCCCTCCAGGTGCTTCTAAAGCAAGCTCAGGTTTGAGAACTGCTGATGTCATCAGTCATAACTTCTGCGTTTCTCCTCTTGAGCAGGGAGAGAGCCAGAGGATTCTCCAAAGCCTGCACCCAAGCCTTCTCTGACCATCAGTTTCGCTCAGAAAGCCAAGCGCCAGAACAACACCTTCCCATTCTTTTCTGAAGGAATCACACGGAACCGAACTGCCCAGGAGAAAGTGGCAGCCTTGGAGCAACAGGTTCTGATGCTCACCAAGGAGTTAAAGTCTCAGAAGGTGAGGTCTGGTCCCAGGGAGGCCCCAGGTTCCAGTGGACCCCTCCAGTTCCTGGAGCCTTTCGGATAAGCTAGATGGGACGCATTAGCCGTGCTGGGCACCAGCTACTCTCTGGTCTTTAAAGGCCAAACTGCAGAATGTTGAAATATGCTGTTGATTACTCAAGAACCTGATGTCACTCAAAGTAAGTCACAAAAGGGCACCAAGGGCAGGTATCTCTGGAGATCTACTCTAATAACTGTCTCTTGGACCCCTCCTGGAGGGCCATGCATGGTCTCACCCCCTACCCAGAAAATGACATTATTTAGAGGCAGGTGATCTGGATGCAGGGTCATGGGAGGGGCTGTCGATAGAACTGGGGGGAACTTTGACCTGGCAGCCGATATCTGGGCACAGATATCTGAATGACCGTCACAAGACTGTCACAGGAGAAAGCAAACAAGCAGCATGTGTGTGGCCCAGGGCTAAGCCAGGACCAACACAGAAACAGTGAAAGGAATATTTGGGCTTAATATGGTAAGAAGTTAATTACGAGAGTTACAAGAGCTATATAATAATTGTAGAAAACAGATCTCATACACACAGACATTAAAACTACTCCAAAATCCTACATCCCAGAGAGTAAATGGTATTAAAAGCCAGGGGCTACCTTATGAAGTAGTGAGGGTCCCAGGGCAAAGATGTGAGAGGGCTGCAGCTCCGGGCGGGAGCCCCTCTTTAGAGTGATAAAAGCGACTAAGTTAGGCAGTTGTTACATAAATCCCAACGGTGGGGCCTGGTAGGACCTGTGGTGGCAGTGGCGGGCTCCAGTGAGGGCCCAGACTCCTTTTCCTCTAGAGGAAGGCCTAAGCTTTTGTGTTTGAACTTTGGCTGCCCGGAGGCCCTTTCTGCTTTGTTTTCCAGCCCTGACTCCAGAGGACTTAGGCTGGGGAGGTGGGGCTTATGCCCTATTACCTTCTGAATATTTCTTATAACTTGTACATTTCTTCTTTTCTTTTCTGCCCTATTTTGGTGGGAAGAAATCTAGAAAAAATGCTCTCCCTATACCTAGTTTGGCCCCTCGTCTGCCTTTTCTGCCCCTAAGCAGTGACCACTGTCAGCAGATCTCAGGGGAACCGGCAGAGGCTTCATTCCTGGCATGTCAGAAGTTACTTTTTTTTTTTTTTTTTTGAGACAGAGTCTCATTCTGTCACCCAGGCTGGAGTGCAGTGGTGCAGTCTTGGCTCACTGCAACCTCTGCCTCCCGGGTTCAAGCGATTCTCCTGCCTCAGCCTCCCAAGTAGCTGGGATTACAAGCACCTGCCACCATGCCCAGCTAATTTTTTTTTGTTTTTTGGTTTTTGTTTTTAGTATTTTTATTAGAGACTAGGTTTCACCATGTTGGCAAGGCTGGTTTCGAACTCCTGACCTCAAGTGATCTGCCCACCTCAGCCTCCCAAAGTGCTGGGATTACAGGCGTGAGCCACCGTGCCTGGCCAGGAGTTACATTTAGTGAAGCAACTGGTGATTAGACATTAGAGTTCTCAAAGGAGGGGGCTCATTTATTCATACGTTCTTAACTCATGTGTTTATTCACCAAATTTTTATTAAGGGCCTGTTATGTGCATGCAGTGTTCCAGGTGCTGGGAAAGAACAATGAGCAAAAGACACAGGCTCTGCCCTTACAGCTTGCATTTCATGGCAGAGACAGACATTAAACAAAGCAACACCCAAATGTGTAGTTATAACACGTGAGGTCCCCTCTGCTGCTGCTTAGCAGCCCAGCTGTCTTTTCCTCCTGTCATCATGGTGCTCCAGTTCTGAGGCTGCTGGACGCTCCTGAGAGCTGAGAGGGCATGAAACAGAGCCATAGCAGCTACTTGATCCCTGGACTAGTAGAGCTTAAATCCGAAACCCAAACCTGGAAAGAAAAAGAAATCCTGAATATACGGGCAGCCTCTCTTGACACAGCCTTTCTTTCTAAGACATTACAAATTGTCAGATGAAGTAGAAAGGCCCCAGGAAACCTAGATTTCATGAAAGTTTGCCCCTGATTGCTCTGCATCTCTGGAGGACTCATCATTCTTCAATAAATAAAGGCAAGATTCTTGGAGATTAATAAGGGTTGACCAGGCTATTGACAACTCCCATATATTCAGAGGGAAATTGTCAGGAGGAAGTTGTTGATGCATTGAAGAATCTGGATTTTTTTTCTACCAGGTAACCTTCCACCAAACCTCGACTTTGTGTCCTGGGACAGAGGGTCAAAAGGAGAATGAGTTGTGATTTATTTAGTTTATCCAATTATTGTGCAATAGGAGTGGATTTGTTTACTCTCCAACCCATTCCACAAATGAACTTCAGTCTTCAGGGTGATTCAAAGAACCAGCCTTTAAATAAGACAGCACAGGCTCAAATTCTGGCCCTAAGCAAGTTTCTTAACCTATCTAAGCCTCAGTTTCCTCTTCTGTAAATGGAGTTGCAGCCGTGTTTACTGGAGAGACCTGTGCCCAGATTCATAAAGCCCAGTACCTGGCACCCAGCAGCTGCCCAACAGATGCAGGCTCTGGTTGTTCTGGCGATTACTGCAGCCCTCCTTACCCTCCATGTCAATCTCTTCCTGCCCTACAAGCAGTGAGGTGCCCTGCTGAGGGGCTCAGAGACGAGGCGGGAAGTGAGAGCCCATCAGTGCCTTCAGGAAATGTGCCGTGGGGCCATAGCAGTGATCAGGGAGCTTAGGTCTTCATTCCACATTAGGAAGGGAGGAATGGCAGCCCCGTAACTCTAGGGTTTCACCTGTAGCCCAGATACTGAAACCAAAGAGGTGAGACAGAAAAAGCCAGCACAACTTCTGGGTGCCCAGTGGTGCCCCCAGGCACTCAGAATGCCGCTAGGAGAGCCGCTGTCCATCTGAGACCCTCATTAGAGTCCCATTCATCAGCTGGGAAGATGGGCACCTGGAATCCCAGGAGCTACCCCTGCGAGGTACCTTCCTGTGTTTCTTTAGTGGGAAGGCACCTCCTGTCTACCTCAAACTTCAGGAGGACATGGGAATTTGGGGTCTTATCCTAGCTGATCTGGCCATTGCCAGTGGCTTTCGTGACTCTTTAGGAATTTCTATCTCAAACACTGCGAGATGCTCTTGAGAGCACATTGCAGACAAATCCCTGCCCTTGGGCACCTCACCATCTAGTGGGGAAGAGAAGATGTGAGCATGGGAACTGCTGGTATGAAGCGCGGCCCCAGGACTGTGCTGAGCCTTCCCATGTGTTATCTCTGTCCTTACAATAGTTTTCATCCCCTTACTCTGAAAGGGAAACTGAGGTTCTCAGAGTGTCTGCATGCTCAGGGTCTCCCAGGGGCTAAGCCAGCATTTGAGGAGCTCAGAGGAGTTGGGTGACTTGCCCATGCGCAGGCAGCTGGAAAAGCCAGGATTGGGGCCCTAACCTCCTTCTCCAAGTCTAGAGGCTGGGCTGCCTCCTCTCTTCCATAGTCTCATGGTGAGGCCCACTATGAGACACAAGCACCAAAACTGCTCTTGAGAAAAAATGAATGCACTCCCTGTGTACCCCCTGGTGTCATATTAAACCACAGGTTGACTTCAATACCCATTAAGCCATTATCTGTCCCCATACCTGCAGCACTGGCCCCACAAGAGGTTTGGGCTCTAGGAGATAGCACCAGATGGCTGATTGGCCGGGGACTGACCCTTGGAGTTGACAGAACTCCACCCAGCCTGAAGGCCGTCTGCTCTGGCAGATGGAAGGCTGTTGTCTGTGGTGATGTTGGCCATCTGTTGGCGGCTGGGAATGATGAACCCCTCTGGGACCCTGCCTGCGGCCCTCTGGGGCCACCTTAGTTCAATCAGGATTACTGGGTAAAGGAACGTAATTTTTTAGGAAACTCAGTGGGGCAACGTATAGCCTCTTACTTTCCTAGAACTCCAGCCAAAAACTTCAGAGGACATGAAAGAGGGCTGGGAGGTACCTTGGCCATGTCAGCTTGGGGAGGGACACTTGGCACTTTCTCTTTCATGCTAGAGGCAGTTCTGAGCAGAAGAGGAAGCTTTAGCCCCATTCATGAGAAAGCTGAGGTTCAATGAAGAGGCCACCTGAGCTACCCTCCTTAGAGTCACCTCGTTAGATACACCCCCCACGGATCCAGAATGGGAACCGAGGCCTGTGCAACTCCAAAGCCCATGCCCCTTCATCTGACCCCTGTAGGGCCCACCACTGATGAAAGTAGCAATGCTCTAAAAAGATAAAGGATTATTTTTTAAAGATGATTTATTGGCTTTTAAAAATTTAAATAAAGTGACAACTTATGACCACGTATCAAAATCTGAGATGAACCAAACAACTCGATTGAGAAATATTAAAAGTACCACTTGGGCCGGGCATGGTGGCTCACACCTATAACCCCAACACTTTGGGAGGCCAAGGTGGGAGGATCTCTTGAGCCCAAGAGTTCAAGACCACCCCGAACAACATAGGGAGACCCTGTCTCTACAGAAAATAAAATAATTAGCTGGGCAATGTGGTGCATGCCTGTAGTCCCAGCTACAAGGGAGACTGAGGCAAGAGAATCTCTTGAGCCCAGGAGGTTGAGGCTGCGGTGGGCCGTGATTG
Source organism: Homo sapiens (assembly GCF_000001405.40). Lineage (NCBI taxonomy): Eukaryota > Metazoa > Chordata > Mammalia > Primates > Hominidae > Homo > Homo sapiens. Next base: position 98,224,344 of record NC_000009.12, on the reverse strand, counting down.
CGCCACTGCACTCCAGCCTGGGCAACAGAGTGAGACCCTGTCTCAAAAAAAAAAAAAAAAAAAAGAAAAGAAAAAAAAACACTTCAAAAAGCTTAATTTCATCAACCCCTCTATTTTTCTTTTCTTTTCTTTTCTTTTTTTTTTTTTTGAGATGGAGTCTCGCTCTGTCGCCCAGGCTAGAGTGCAGTGGTGCGATCTCAGCTCACTGCCAGCTCCGCCTCCCGGGTTCACACCATTCTGCCTCAGCCTCCTGAGTAGCTGGGACTACAGGCACCCGCCACCACGCCTGGCTAATTTTTTTGTATTTTTAGTAGAGACGGGGTTTCACCATGTTAGCCAGGATGGTCTCGATCTCCTGACCTCGTGATCCGACCGCCTTGGCCTCCCAAAGTGCTGGGATTACAGGCGTGAGCCACCACGCCCGGCCCAACCTATTTTTAAGAATTGGTCCTAAGACATTGCTTATAATCCAGACTTTAGGTTTCTTGAATTCATGACATTCTCACTCCTCATCTTACAAGTCCTACTGAGGCTCCCTCCCTCTGCCCTGGTTCCGTTCTTTTAAGCCTATTTTATTCTGGTACAAGAATTCTGGGGGTGGGAGGAGAGCCTCCTGGGCTGGTGTCTCAGTCTTAGATTCTGGGAGCCAAATGCGGGAAGGAGACAGCTAGATGTAATGAAATAAGCTTCAGAGTCAACTAACTCCCCAAATTGAGGGAAAGACACCCACTGGTCCTGCTCCTAGGGCAAGTCTGAACAATGATGTCTGTTGGTTATTTCCCTGGGCAGTCATCCAAGGTAACCTCCAAATCTCAGCTGAAGCAGAAAATGGCCTAGGCCCCCAGTTTTCCTGGAACCACAGGAATGTTAATCTCTCTCCACTGAGCCCTGAGAAGCTGACTTCTTCATTCTGGACGTTCCAAACATTCCCTTTTGGTTTGCAATCACTGTGCTGTCCTCACCCCAACTTCCTGCCACACCCCAGGGCTCCCACAGCTCCATGGTAGCTCTTTCCTTCCTCCAGGTCTTTACTGGGGCTGTAGCTTGGCCACATCTGGAGGGCCATCCCCACCCTCATCTCCCACCTGCTGCTCGACCATCTCTGGCCCTTCTCATTCTTCACAGTTTCTTTTAAATGCTCTGGACTGGTATTCCCCACAACCTCCACCCCAGACAGAAGTCATTGCCTTTCCCACAAACACCCTTGTTCCCCTGACTTGCAGTAGATCATTCCACTGTGGTGGGTCATGTTCATTCCCACCAGCCTTTGCAGTCCTTGGAGGTGGGAACTCTCACCACTCCCTCTCTGGGCCACGGCACCTGGCTCAGGGCCTGGCCTGGCACCGAGTGGTGCTTGGTAAAGGTTGGATGGATGGATGGGCATGTGGAAGGAAAAGAGAGAACCAGAGAAAGGATGGTCACTAGTCCTAAGGTTTCAGAAGATGCAGGCTAATGTGGTCTTGTCATTAGCTTCTCCAAAAAAGTCATGGTTTTTGGCAGTTTTCCTCCAATATAGAATTGTTCTTAGCAAATAAGGCTATCCAGCCAATCCACTCATTTTAATACTTTGGTGTGGTATAGTTGACATGTCTCTAGGAAACCATGTTTTTCCAAATGAGAAGCACAGAGCAGGGCAGTGTTGCCTGAAAGTCATACCTACCTGGTATTAGTTCCACGTGGACCTGGCTGCTGATGTCCTGATCCTGGCCCAGAACAAATTCACATCCCTGCTTTGGGACAGATAGGCCTGAGTCCAGGCGTGGCCCTCCCTGGGGAAATTACAGGCTTAAAGGCACAGGGAGCTGAGCAGACCTTGAGTTCCTGTGTGAATTAGTTGCCCCTGCTGAGGAATAAATCAAGCTCTATTGTTTCTGAACTTTCTAGAGTTCCTTCCACCAGCTTTGCAGGCATCGGCTGGTGGGCTGAAGGTAACTAGGCACAAATGGCTTGAATGAGGTCCTCTGTGTGTGGCTTTACATGGGGATTGCCAGTGTATTTCCTCTTTAACCCTGACTCAACTTGATTGGTAGTGACTGGCTGCTATATTGAGAATGATTCTGAGGCCTCAACTAGGGTAGGCTGTGCAGGAAGAAGTATGGGAGATTAATTAGTGATGTCTGCCACAGGGATGAGAGGGAAGAGTAATGCCACATAGCTGCCACCCCTGGTTTTCTTAGTTACTGAGCACAGGCTTTGGAATCTAGCCAATTGAGATTGAATTCCATTCTACTCTCTGCTGGGCCTCAGTTTGTTCATCCCTGAAATGGATGTGTATATGTCAGGGTATGGGTTCAGCTGCTGTGACAAAAACATCTCCACTGGGTGTGGTGACTCATACCTGTAATCCCAGCACTTTGGAAGGCCAAGGTGGGCAGATCATTTGAGTCCAGGAGTTTGAGACCAGCCCGGCAACATGGCAAAACCCCTTCTCTACAAAAAAATACAAATATTAGCCTGGTGTGTTGGCATGTTCCTGTGGTCCCAGCTACTTGAGAGGCTAAGGTGGGAGGATCAGCTGAGCCCAGGAGATTGAGGCTACAGTGAGCCATGTCTGTGCCACTGCACTCCAGGCTGGGTAACAGAGGGAGACGCTATCTCAAAAAAAAAAAGTTTCAAAGCACTGTGGCCCAAAACGAGTGAGAGGTTTCTCATTCACATTAAAGAACCCAGAGGTAGGTGAGCAACTCTGAGCTGGGGGGCAGCCCTTTCTCAACATGTACCTTCTGCTGTGGGTCTGAGGCGGCCACTCTAGTTCCTGCCACTTCCCAGCCAGAAGCAAAGAGAACTGGACCAGAGGAGCGTGTATCTAGTGGTTTTAAAGGTAGGACCCAGAAGCTGCCCATCTCACTTTTCATTTCCCATTTAGGCAGAATAGTTACTTGGCTACACCTCACCATGGCTTGGCTGGGAGATGCAGTTTTAAGCTGGGGAACCATGTGCCCAGCTAACAGTCACTTGAACAGAGAAGGAGAAAGTGAGTGTCAGGATGAGATGCCGCAGGGATGCTGCTGGGCACCTCTCACGGTTGTTAGGAGAACTACTGATAACATATACCCCACTGTGGCGCCCAGCAGGCCCTCCCTGAGCTCACAAGATTCTTCCCTCTCCCTGCCCAGGAGCTAGTGAAGATCCTGCACAAGGCACTGGAGGCCGCCCAGCAGGAGAAGCGGGCGTCCAGCGCATACCTGGCGGCGGCTGAGGACAAGGACCGGCTGGAGCTGGTGCGGCACAAAGTGCGGCAGATCGCGGAGCTGGGCCGGCGGGTGGAGGCCCTGGAGCAGGAGCGGGAGAGCCTGGCGCACACAGCGAGCCTGCGGGAGCAGCAGGTGCAGGAGCTACAGCAGCACGTGCAGCTGCTTATGGACAAGAACCACGCCAAGCAGCAGGTCATCTGCAAGCTCTCTGAGAAGGTCACCCAGGACTTCACGCACCCCCCTGACCAGTCTCCTTTGCGCCCCGACGCTGCCAACAGGGACTTCCTGAGCCAGCAGGGGAAGATAGAGCACCTGAAGGTAGGGGCCTCCCCTCAGGGCCTGCCAGTCCTGCCGGTCCTCTGTCCCAGCCCTCAGGGAAGGTGCGCTCTCCACCCCTAAGGGTTTGCTAGGTGGAGTGGGGATACCCCTTCATCCTAGAATATTCACATTAGAAACACATGTTGATGGGAATATTGCTCTACGCTTCTTCACTTTCTTTACCACAAGGCCCAGTGCAGTTTGCCTGGGCCTTGATTGACCCATTAACCAGTAGCCCTGGTATCCTGGGCTACTGAAAAGTGAAGGTGCCTCTAGATTA